>NT_187370.1:0-161471 GCF_000001405.40 Homo sapiens | reverse complement strand
GAATTCTTCTGTCTAGTTTTCAGGGGAAGATATTTCCTTTTTCACCATAGGCCTCAAAGCGCTCCAAATGTCCACATCCAGATACTACAAAAAGAGTGTTTCAAACCTGCTCTATGAAAGGGAATGTTCAACTCTGTGACTTGAATGCAAACATCACAAAGAAGTTACTGGGAATGCTGCTGTCTGCTTTTTATATGTAATCCCGTTTCCAACGAAATCCTCAAAGCTAGACAAATATCCACTTGCAGATTCCACAAAAAGAGTGTTTCAAAACTGCTCTCTCAAAAGAAAGGTTCAACTCTGTTAGCTGAGTAGATACATCATGAAAAATTTTCTGACATTGCTTCTATCTAGCTTTTATTGGAAGATATATCCTTTGTCACCTTATTCCTGAGATCTCTCCAAATGTCCACTTCCAGATACTAGAAAAAGAGTGTTTCAAACCTGCTCTATGAAAGGGACTGTTCAACACTGTGACTTCAATTGAAACATCCCAATGAAGCTTCTGAGAATGCTTCTGTCTAGAGTTTATATGAAGACAATCCCGTTTCCAACGAAATCCTCAAAGCTATCCAAATATCCTCTTGCAGATATTACAAAAAGAGTGTTTCAAAACTGCTCTATCAAAAGAAAGGTTCAACACTGTTAGTTGAGGGCGCACATCACAAATAAGTTTCTGAGAATGCTTCTGTCTAGTTTTCAGGGGAAGATATTTCCTTTTTCACCATAGGCCTGAAAGCGCTCCAAATGTCCACATCCAGATACTACAAAAAGAGTGTTTCAAACCTGCTCTATGAAAGGGAATGTTCAACTCTGTGACTTGAATGCAAACATCACAAAGAAGTTACTGGGAATGCTGCTGTCTGCTTTTTATATGTAATCCCGTTTCCAACGAAATCCTCAAAGCTAGACAAATATCCACTTGCAGATTCCACAAAAAGAGTGTTTCAAAACTGCTATCTCAAAAGAAAGGTTCAACTCTGTTAGCTGAGTAGATACATCATGAAAAAGTTTCTGACATTGCTTCTATCTAGCTTTTATTGGAAGATATTTCCTTTATCACCGTATTCCTGAGATCTCTCCAAATGTCCATTTCCAGATACTACAAAAAGAGTGTTTCAAACCTGCTCTATGAAAGGGACTGTTCAACACTGTGACTTCAATTGAAACATCCCAATGAAGCTTCTGAGAATGCTTCTGTCTAGAGTTTATATGAAGACAATCCCGTTTCCAACGAAATCCTCAAAGCTATCCAAATATCCTCTTGCAGATTTTACAAAAAGAGTGTTTCAAAACTGCTCTATCAAAAGAAAGCTTCAACACTGTTAGTTGAGGGCGCACATCACAAATAAGATTCTGAGAATGCTTCTGTCTAGTTTTCAGGGGAAGATATTTCCTTTTTCACCATAGGCCTGAAAGCGCTCCAAATGTCCACATCCAGATACTACAAAAAGAGTGTTTCAAACCTGCTCTATGAAAGGGAATGTTCAACTCTGTGACTTGAATGCAAACTTCACAAAGAAGTTACTGGTAATGCTGCTGCCTGCTTTTTATATGTAATCCCGTTTCCAACGAAATCCTCAAAGCTAGACAAATATCCACTTCCAGATTCCACAAAAAGAGTGTTTCAAAACTGCTCTCTCAAAAGAAAGGTTCAACTCTGTTAGCTGAGTAGACACATCATGAAAAAGTTTCTGACATTGCTTCTATGAAGCTTTTATTGGAAGATATTTCCTTTTTCACCGTAGTCCTGAGAGCGCTCCAAATGTCCACTTCCAGATACTACAAAAAGAGTGTTTCAAACTTGTTCTATGAAAGGAACTGTTCAACACTGTGACTTCAATTGAAATATCCCAATGAAGCTTCTGAGAATGCTTCTGTCTAGAGTTTATATGAAGACAATCCCGTTTCCAACGAAATCCTCAAAGCTATCCAAATATCCTCTTGCAGATATTACAAAAAGAGTGTTTCAAAACTGCTCTATCAAAAGAAAGGTTCCACACTGCTAGTTGAGGGCGCACATCACAAATAAGTTTCTGAGAATGCTTCTGTCTAGTTTTCAGGGGAAGATATTTCCTTTTTCACCATAGGCCTGAAAGCGCTCCAAATGTCCACATACAGATACTACAAAAAGAGTGTTTCAAACCTGCTCTATGAAAGGGAATGTTCAACTCTGTGACTTGAATGCAAACATCACAAAGAAGTTTCTGGGAATGCTGCTGTCTGCTTTTTATATGTAATCCCGTTTCCAACGAAATCCTCAAAGCTAGACAAATATCCACTTGCAGATTCCACAAAAAGAGAGTTTCAAAACTGCTCTCTCAAAAGAAAGGTTCAACTCTGTTAGCTGAGTAGATACATCATGAAAAAGTTTCTGACATTGCTTCTATCTAGCTTTTATTGGAAGATATTTCCTTTATCACCGTATTCCTGAGATCTCTCCAAATGTCCACTTCCAGATACTACAAAAAGAGTGTTTCAAACCTGCTCTATGAAAGGGACTGTTCAACACTGTGACTTCAATTGAAACATCCCAATGAAGCTTCTGAGAATGCTTCTGTCTAGAGTTTATATGAAGACAATCCCGTTTCCAACGAAATCCTCAAAGCCATCCAAATATCCTCTTGCAGATTTTACGAAAAGAGTGTTTCAAAACTGCTCTATCAAAAGAAAGCTTCAACACTGTTAGTTGAGGGCGCACATCACAAATAAGATTCTGAGAACGCTTCTGTCTAGTTTTCAGGAGAAGATATTTCCTTTTTCACCATAGGCCTGAAAGCGCTCCAAATGTCCACATCCAGATACTATAAAAAGAGTGTTTCAAACCTGCTCTCTGAAAGGGAATGTTCAACTCTGTGACTTGAATGCAAACATCACAAACAAGATTCTGGGAATGCTGCTGTCTGCTTTTTATATGTAATCCCGTTTCCAACGAAATCCTCAAAGCTAGACAAATATCCACTTGCAGATTCCACAAAAAGAGTGTTTCAAAACTGCTCTATCAAAAGAAAGCTTCAACACTGTTAGTTGAGGGCGCACATCACAAATAAGATTCTGAGAATGCTTCTGTCTAGTTTTCAGGGGAAGATATTTCCTTTTTCACCATAGGCCTGAAAGCGCTCCAAATGTCCACATACAGATACTACAAAAAGAGTGTTTCAAACCTGCTCTATGAAAGGGACTGTTCAACACTGTGACTTCAATTGAAACATCCCAATGAAGCTTCTGAGAATGCCTCTGGCTAGAGTTTATATGAAGACAATCCCGTTTCCAACGAAATCCTCAAAGCTATCCAAATATCCTCTTGCAGATTTTACAAAAAGAGTGTTTGAAAACTGCTCTATCAAAAGAAAGCTTCAACACTGTTAGTTGAGGGCGCACATCACAAATAAGATTCTGAGAATGCTTCTGTCTAGTTTTCAGGGGAAGATATTTCCTTTTTCACCATAGGCCTGAAAGCGCTCCAAATGTCCACATCCAGATACTACAAAAAGAGTGTTTCAAACCTGCTCTATGAAAGGGAATGTTCAACTCTGTGACTTGAATGCAAACATCACAAAGAAGTTACTGGGAATGCTGCTATCTGCTTTTTATATGTAATCCCGTTTCCAACGAAATCCTCAAAGCTAGACAAATATCCACTTGCAGATTCCACAAAAAGAGTGTTTCAAAACTGCTCTCTCAAAAGAAAGGTTCAACTCTGTTAGCTGAGTAGATACATCATGAAAAATTTTCTGACATTGCTTCTATCTAGCTTTTATTGGAAGATATTTCCTTTGTCACCTTATTCCTGAGATCTCTCCAAATGTCCACTTCCAGATACTACAAAAAGAGTGTTTCAAACCTGCTCTATGAAAGGGACTGTTCAACACTGTGACTTCAATTGAAACATCCCAATGAAGCTTCTGAGAATGCTTCTGTCTAGAGTTTATATGAAGACAATCCCGTTTCCAACGAAATCCTCAAAGCTATCCAAATATCCTCTTGCAGATTTTACAAAAAGAGTGTTTCAAAACTGCTCTATCAAAAGAAAGCTTCAAGACTGTTAGTTGAGGGCGCACATCACAATTAAGTTTCTGAGAATGCTTCTGTCTAGTTTTCAGGGGAAGATATTTCCTTTTTCACCATAGGCCTGAAAGCGCTCCAAATGTCCACATCCAGATACTACAAAAAGAGTGTTTCAAACCTGCTCTATGAAAGGGAATGTTCAACTCTGTGACTTGAATGCAAACATCACAAAGAAGTTTCTGGGAATGCTGCTGTCTGCTTTTTATATGTAATCCCGTTTCCAACGAAATCCTCAAAGCTAGACAAATATCCACTTGCAGATTCCACAAAAAGAGTGTTTCAAAACTGCTCTCTCAAAAGAAAGGTTCAACTCTGTTAGCTGAGTAGATACATCATGAAAAAGTTTCTGACATTGCTTCTATCTAGCTTTTATTGGAAGATATTTCCTTTATCACCGTATTCCTGAGATCTCTCCAAATGTCCACTTCCAGATACTACAAAAAGAGTGTTTCAAACCTGCTCTATGAAAGGTACTGTTCAACACTGTGACTTCAATTGAAACATCCCAATGAAGCTTCTGAGAATGCTTCTGGCTAGAGTTTATATGAAGACAATCCCGTTTCCAACGAAATCCTCAAAGCTATCCAAATATCCTCTTGCAGATTTTACAAAAAGAGTGTTTCAAAACTGCTCTATCAAAAGAAAGCTTCAACACTGTTAGTTGAGGGCGCACATCACAAATAAGATTCTGAGAATGCTTCTGTCTAGTTTTCAGGGGAAGATATTTCCTTTTTCACCATAGGCCTGAAAGCGCTCCAAATGTCCACATCCAGATACTACAAAAAGAGTGTTTCAAACCTGCCCTATGAAAGGGAATGTTCAACTCTGTGACTTTAATGCAAACATCACAAAGAAGATTCTGGGAATGCTGCTGTCTGCTTTTTATATGTAATCCCGTTTCCAACGAAATCCTCAAAGCTAGACAAATATCCACTTGCAGATTCCACAAAAAGAGTGTTTCAAAACTGCTCTATCAAAAGAAAGCTTCAACACTGTTAGTTGAGGGCGCACATCACAAATAAGTTTCTGAGAATTCTTCTGTCTAGTTTTCAGGGGAAGATATTTGCTTTTTCACCATAGGCCTGAAAGCGCTCCAAATGTCCACATCCAGATACTACAAAAAGAGTGTTTCAAACCTGCTCTATGAAAGGGACTGTTCAACACTGTGACTTCAATTGAAACATCCCAATGAAGCTTCTGAGAATGCTTTTGTCTAGAGTTTATATGAAGACAATCCCGTTTCCAACGAAATCCTCAAAGCTATCCAAATATCCTCTTGCAGATTTTACAAAAAGAGTGTTTCAAAACTGCTCTATCAAAAGAAAGCTTCAACACTGTTAGTTGAGGGCGCACATCACAAATAAGATTCTGAGAATTCTTCTGTCTAGTTTTCAGGGGAAGATATTTCCTTTTTCACCATAGGCCTGAAAGCGCTCCAAATGTCCACATCCAGATACTACAAAAAGAGTGTTTCAAACCTGCTCTATGAAAGGGAATGTTCAACTCTGTGACTTGAATGCAAACATCACAAAGAAGTTACTGGGAATGCTGCTGTCTGCTTTTTATATGTAATCCCGTTTCCAACGAAATCCTCAAAGCTAGACAAATATCCACTTGCAGATTCCACAAAAAGAGTGTTTCAAAACTGCTCTCTCAAAAGAAAGGTTCAACTCTGTTAGCTGAGTAGATACATCATGAAAAATTTTCTGACATTGCTTCTATCTAGCTTTTATTGGAAGATATTTCCTTTGTCACCTTATTCCTGAGATCTCTCCAAATGTCCACTTCTAGATACTACAAAAAGAGTGTTTCAAACCTGCTCTATGAAAGGGACTGTTCAACACTGTGACTTCAATTGAAACATCCCAATGAAGCTTCTGAGAATGCTTCTGTCTAGAGTTTATATGAAGACAATCCCGTTTCCAACGAAATCCTCAAAGCTATCCAAATATCCTCTTGCAGATATTACAAAAAGAGTGTTTCAAAACTGCTCTATCAAAAGAAAGCTTCAAGACTGTTAGTTGAGGGCGCACATCACAATTAAGTTTCTGAGAATGCTTCTGTCTAGTTTTCAGGGGAAGATATTTCCTTTTTCACCATAGGCCTGAAAGCGCTCCAAATGTCCACATCCAGATACTACAAAAAGAGTGTTTCAAACCTGCTCTATGAAAGGGAATGTTCAACTCTGTGACTTGAATGCAAACATCACAAAGAAGTTTCTGGGAATGCTGCTGTCTGCTTTTTATATGTAATCCCGTTTCCAACGAAATCCTCAAAGCTAGACAAATATCCACTTGCAGATTCCACAAAAAGAGTGTTTCAAAACTGCTCTCTCAAAAGAAAGGTTCAACTCTGTTAGCTGAGTAGATACATCATGAAAAAGTTTCTGACATTGCTTCTATCTAGCTTTTATTGGAAGATATTTCCTTTATCACCGTATTCCTGAGATCTCTCCAAATGTCCAATTCCAGATACTACAAAAAGAGTGTTTCAAACCTGCTCTATGAAAGGTACTGTTCAACACTGTGACTTCAATTGAAACATCCCAATGAAGCTTCTGAGAATGCTTCTGGCTAGAGTTTATATGAAGACAATCCCGTTTCCAACGAAATCCTCAAAGCTATCCAAATATCCTCTTGCAGATTTTACAAAAAGAGTGTTTCAAAACTGCTCTATCAAAAGAAAGCTTCAACACTGTTAGTTGAGGGCGCACATCACAAATAAGATTCTGAGAATGCTTCTGTCTAGTTTTCAGGGGAAGATATTTCCTTTTTCACCATAGGCCTGAAAGCGCTCCAAATGTCCACATCCAGATACTACAAAAAGAGTGTTTCAAACCTGCCCTATGAAAGGGAATGTTCAACTCTGTGACTTGAATGCAAACATCACAAAGAAGATTCTGGGAATTCTGCTGTCTGCTTTTTATATGTAATCCCGTTTCCAACGAAATCCTCAAAGCTAGACAAATATCCACTTGCAGATTCCCCAAAAAGAGTGTTTCAAAACTGCTCTATCAAAAGAAAGCTTCAACACTGTTAGTTGAGGGCGCACATCACAAATAAGTTTCTGAGAATGCTTCTGTCTAGTTTTCAGGGGAAGATATTTCCTTTTTCACCATAGGCCTGAAAGCGCTCCAAATGTCCACATCCAGATACTACAAAAAGAGTGTTTCAAACCTGCTCTATGAAAGGGACTGTTCAACACTGTGACTTCAATTGAAACATCCCAATGAAGCTTCTGAGAATGCTTCTGTCTAGAGTTTATATGAAGACAATCCCGTTTCCAACGAAATCCTCAAAGCTATCCAAATATCCTCTTGCAGATTTTACAAAAAGAGTGTTTCAAAACTGCTCTATCAAAAGAAAGCTTCAACACTGTTAGTTGAGGGCGCACATCACAAATAAGATTCTGAGAATTCTTCTGTCTAGTTTTCAGGGGAAGATATTTCCTTTTTCACCATAGGCCTCAAAGCGCTCCAAATGTCCACATCCAGATACTACAAAAAGAGTGTTTCAAACCTGCTCTATGAAAGGGAATGTTCAACACTGTGACTTGAATGCAAACATCACAAAGGAGTTACTGGGAATGCTGCTGTCTGCTTTTTATATGTAATCCCGTTTCCAACGAAATCCTCAAAGCTAGACAAATATCCACTTGCAGATTCCACAAAAAGAGTGTTTCAAAACTGCTCTCTCAAAAGAAAGGTTCAACTCTGTTAGCTGAGTAGATACATCATGAAAAATTTTCTGACATTGCTTCTATCTAGCTTTTATTGGAAGATATTTCCTTTGTCACCTTATTCCTGAGATCTCTCCAAATGTCCACTTCCAGATACTACAAAAAGAGTGTTTCAAACCTGCTCTATGAAAGGGACTGTTCAACACTGTGACTTCAATTGAAACATCCCAATGAAGCTTCTGAGAATGCTTCTGTCTAGAGTTTATATGAAGACAATCCCGTTTCCAACGAAATCCTCAAAGCTATCCAAATATCCTCTTGCAGATATTACAAAAAGAGTGTTTCAAAACTGCTCTATCAAAAGAAAGCTTCAAGACTGTTAGTTGAGGGCGCACATCACAAATAAGTTTCTGAGAATGCTTCTGTCTAGTTTTCAGGGGAAGATATTTCCTTTTTCACCATAGGCCTGAAAGCGCTCCAAATGTCCACATCCAGATACTACAAAAAGAGTGTTTCAAACCTGCTCTATGAAAGGGAATGTTCAACTCTGTGACTTGAATGCAAACATCACAAAGAAGTTTCTGGGAATGCTGCTGTGTGCTTTTTATATGTAATCCCGTTTCCAACGAAATCCTCAAAGCTAGACAAATATCCACTTGCAGATTCCACAAAAAGAGTGTTTCAAAACTGCTCTCTCAAAAGAAAGGTTCAACTCTGTTAGCTGAGTGGATACATCATGAAAAAGTTTCTGACATTGCTTCTATCTAGCTTTTATTTGAAGATACTTCCTTTTTCACCGCAGTCCTGAGAGCACTCCTAATGTCCACTTCCAGATACTACAAAAAGAGTGTTTCAAACCTGCTCTATGAAAGGGACTGTTCAACACTGTGACTTCAATTGAAACATCCCAATGAAGCTTCTGAGAATGCTTCTGTCTAGAGTTTATATGAAGACAATCCGGTTTCCAACGAAATCCTCAAAGCTATCCAAATATCCTCTTGCAGATTTTACAAAAAGAGTGTTTCAAAACTGCTCTATCAAAAGAAAGGTTCAACACTGTTAGTTGAGGGCGCACATCACAAATAAGTTCTGAGAATGCTTCTGTCTTGTTTTCAGGGGAAGATATTTCCTTTTTCACCATAGGCCTGAAAGGGCTCCAAATGTCCACATCCAGATACTACAAAAAGAGTGTTTCAAACCTGCTCTATGAAAGGGAATGTTCAACTCTGTGACTTGAATGCAAACATCACAAAGAAGTTTCTGGGAATGCTGCTGTCTGCTTTTTATATGTAATCCCGTTTCCAACGAAATCCTCAAAGCTAGACAAATATCCACTTGCAGATTCCACAAAAAGAGTGTTTCAAAACTACTCTATCAAAAGAAAGCTTCAACACTGTTAGTTGAGGGCGCACATCACAAGTAAGTTTCTGAGAATGCTTCTGTCTAGTTTTCAGGGGAAGATATTTCCTTTTTCACCATAGGCCTGAAAGCGCTCCAAATGTCCACATCCAGATACTACAAAAAGAGTGTTTCAAACCTGCTCTATGAAAGGGACTGTTCAACACTGTGACTTCAATTGAAACATCCCAATGAAGCTTCTGAGAATGCTTCTGTCTAGAGTTTATATGAAGACAATCCCGTTTCCAAAGAAATCCTCAAAGCTATCCAAATATCCTCTTGCAGATTTTACAAAAAGAGTGTTTCAAAACTGCTCTATCAAAAGAAAGCTTCAACACTGTTAGTTGAGGGCGCACATCACAAATAAGATTCTGAGAATGCTTCTGTCTAGTTTTCAGGGGAAGATATTTCCTTTTTCACCATAGGCCTGAAAGCGCTCCAAATGTCCACATCCAGATACTACAAAAAGAGTGTTTCAAACCTGCTCTATGAAAGGGAATGTTCAACTCTGTGACTTGAATGCAAACATCACAAAGAAGTTTCTGGGAATGCTGCTGTCTGCTTTTTATATGTAATCCCGTTTCCAACGAAATCCTGAAAACTAGACAAATATCCACTTGCAGATTCCACAAAAAGAGTGTTTCAAAACTGCTCTCTCAAAAGAAAGGTTCAACTCTGTTAGCTGAGTAGATACATCATGAAAAAGTTTCTGACATTGCTTCTATGTAGCTTTTATTGGAAGATATTTCCTTTATCACCGTATTCCTGAGATCTCTCCAAATGTCCACTTCCAGATACTACAAAAAGAGTGTTTCAAACCTGCTCTATGAAAGGGACTGTTCAACACTGTGACTTCAATTGAAACATCCCAATGAAGCTTCTGAGAATGCTTCTGTCTAGAGTTTATATGAAGAAAATCCCGTTTCCAATGAAATCCTCAAAGCTATCCAAATATCCTCTTGCAGATTTTACAAAAAGAGTGTTTCAAAACTGCTTTATCAAAAGAAAGCTTCAACACTGTTAGTTGAGGGCGCACATCACAAATAAGATTCTGAGAATGCTTCTGTCTAGTTTTCAGGAGAAGATATTTCCTTTTTCACCATAGGCCTGCAAGCGATCCAAATGTCCACATCCAGATACTATAAAAAGAGTGTATCAAACCTGCTCTATGAAAGGGAATGTTCAACTCTGTGACTTGAATGCAAACATCACAAAGAAGATTCTGGGAATGCTGCTGTCTGCTTTTTATATGTAATCCCGTTTCCAACGAAATCCTCAAAGCTAGACAAATATCCACTTGCAGATTCCACAAAAAGAGTGTTTCAAAACTGCTCTCTCAAAAGGAAGGTTCAACTCTGTTAGCTGAGTAGATACATCATGAAAAATTTTCTGACATTGCTTCTATCTAGCTTTTATTGGAAGATATTTCCTTTGTCACCGTATTCCTGAGATCTCTGCAAACGTCCACTTCCAGATACAACAAAAAGAGTGTATCAAACCTGCTGTATGAAAGGGACTGTTCAACACTGTGACTTCAATTGAAACATCCCAATGAAGCTTCTGAGAATGCTTCTGTCTAGAGTTTATATGAAGACAATCCCGTTTCCAACGAAATCCTCAAAGCTATCCAAATATCCTCTTGCAGATATTACAAAAAGAGTGTTTCAAAACTGCTCTATCAAAAGAAAGGTTCAACACTGTTAGTTGAGGGCGCACATCACAAATAAGTTTCTGAGAATGCTTCTGTCTTGTTTTCAGGGGAAGATATTTCCTTTTTCACCATAGGCCTGAAAGCGCTCCAAATGTCCACATCCAGATACTACAAAAAGAGTGTTTCAAACCTGCTCTATGAAGGGGAATGTTCAACTCTGTGACTTGAATGCAAACATCACAAAGAAGTTTCTGGGAATGCTGCTGTCTGCTTTTTATATGTAATCCCGTTTCCAACGAAATCCTCAAAACTAGACAAATATCCACTTGCAGATTCCACAAAAAGAGTGTTTCAAAACTGCTCTATCAAAAGAAAGCTTCAACACTGTTAGTTGAGGGCGCACATCACAAGTAAGTTTCTGAGAATGCTTCTGTCTAGTTTTCAGGGGAAGATATTTCCTTTTTCACCATAGGCCTGAAAGCGCTCCAAATGTCCACATCCAGATACTACAAAAAGAGTGTTTCAAACCTGCTCTATGAAAGGGACTGTTCAACACTGTGACTTCAATTGAAACATCCCAATGAAGCTTCTGAGAATGCTTCTGTCTAGAGTTTATATGAAGACAATCCCGTTTCCAACGAAATCCTCAAAGCTATCCAAATATCCTCTTGCAGATTTTACAAAAAGAGTGTTTCAAAACTGCTCTATCAAAAGAAAGCTTCAACACTGTTAGTTGAGGGCGCACATCACAAATAAGATTCTGAGAATGCTTCTGTCTAGTTTTCAGGGGAAGATATTTCCTTTTTCACCATAGGCCTGAAAGCGCTCCAAATGTCCACATACAGATACTACAAAAAGAGTGTTTCAAACCTGCTCTATGAAAGGGAATGTTCAACTCTGTGACTTGAATGCAAACATCACAAAGAAGTTTCTGGGAATGCTGCTGTCTGCTTTTTATATGTAATCCCGTTTCCAATGAAATCCTCAAAGCTAGACAAATATCCACTTGCAGATTCCACAAAAAGAGTGTTTCAAAACTGCTCTCTCAAAAGAAAGGTTCAACTCTGTTAGCTGAGTAGATACATCATGAAAAAGTTTCTGACATTGCTTCTATCTAGCTTTTATTGGAAGATATTTCCTTTATCACCGTATTCCTGAGATCTCTCCAAATGTCCACTTCCAGATACTACAAAAAGAGTGTTTTAAACCTGCTCCATGAAAGGGACTGTTCAACACTGTGACTTCAATTGAAACATCCCAATGAAGCTTCTGAGAACGCTTCTGTCTAGAGTTTATATGAAGACAATCCCGTTTCCAACGAAATCCTCAAAGCTATCCAAATATCCTCTTGCAGATTTTACAAAAAGAGTGTTTCAAAACTGCTCTATCAAAAGAAAGCTTCAACACTGTTAGTTGAGGGCGCACATCACAAATAAGATTCTGAGAATGCTTCTGTCTAGTTTTCAGGGGAAGATATTTCCTTTTTCACCATAGGCCTGAAAGCGCTCCAAATGTCCACATCCAGATACTACAAAAAGAGTGTTTCAAACCTGCTCTATGAAAGGGAATGTTCAACTCTGTGACTTGAATGCAAACATCACAAAGAAGTTACTGGGAATGCTGCTGTCTGCTTTTTATATGTAATCCCGTTTCCAACGAAATCCTCAAAGCTAGACAAATATCCACTTGCAGATTCCACAAAAAGAGTGTTTCAAAACTGCTCTCTCAAAAGAAAGGTTCAACTCTGTTAGCTGAGTAGATACATCATGAAAAAGTTTCTGACATTGCTTCTATGTAGCTTTTATTGGAAGATATTTCCTTTTTAACCGTAGTCCGGAGAGCGCTCCAAATGTCCACTTCCAGATACTACAAAAAGAGTGTTTCAAACCTGCTCTATGAAAGGGACTGTTCAACACTGTGACTTCAATTGAAACATCCCAATGAAGCTTCTGAGAATGCTTCTGTCTAGAGTTTATATGAGGAAAATCCCGTTTCCAATGAAATCCTCAAAGCTATCCAAATATCCTCTTGCTGATTTTACAAAAAGAGTGTTTCAAAACTGCTTTATGAAAAGAAAGCTTCAACACTGTTAGTTGAGGGCGCACATCACAAATAAGATTCTGAGAATGCTTCTGTCTAGTTTTCAGGAGAAGATATTTCCTTTTTCACCATAGGCCTGAAAGCGATCCAAATGTCCACATCCAGATACTATAAAAAGAGTGTATCAAACCTGCTCTATGAAAGGGAATGTTCAACTCTGTGACTTGAATGCAAACATCACAAAGAAGATTCTGGGAATGCTGCTGTCTGCTTTTTATATGTAATCCCGTTTCCAACGAAATCCTCAAAGCTAGACAAATATCCACTTCCAGATTCCACAAAAAGAGTGTTTCAAAACTCCTCGATCAAAAGAAAGATTCAACACTGTTAGTTGAGGGCGCACATCACAAATAAGTTTCTGAGAATGCTTCTGTCTAGTTTTCAGGGGAAGATATTTCCTTTTTCACCATAGGCCTGAAAGCGCTCCAAATGACCACATCCAGATACTACAAAAAGAGTGTTTCAAACCTGCTCTATGAAAGGGACTGTTCAACACTGTGACTTCAATTGAAACATCCCAATGAAGCTTCTGAGAATGCTTCTGTCTAGAGTTTATATGAAGACAATCCCGTTTCCAACGAAATCCTCAAAGCTATCCAAATATCCTCTTGCAGATTTTACAAAAAGAGTGTTTCAAAACTGCTCTATCAAAAGAAAGCTTCAACACTGTTAGTTGAGGGCGCACATCACAAATAAGATTCTGAGAATGCTTCTGTCTAGTTTTCAGGGGAAGATATTTCCTTTTTCACCATAGGCCTGAAAGCGCTCCAAATGTCCACATCCAGATACTACAAAAAGAGTGTTTCAAACCTGCTCTATGAAAGGGAATGTTCAACTCTGTGACTTGAATGCAAACATCACAAAGAAGTTACTGGGAATGCTGCTGTCTGCTTTTTATATGTAATCCCGTTTCCAACGAAATCCTCAAAGGTAGACAAATATCCACTTGCAGATTCCACCAAAAGAGTGTTTCAAAACTGCTCTCTCAAAAGAAAGGTTCAACTCTGTTAGCTGAGTAGATACATCATGAAAAAGTTTCTGACATTGCTTCTATGTAGCTTTTATTGGAAGATATTTCCTTTTTCACCGTAGTACTGAGAGCGCTCCAAATGTCCACTTCCAGATACTACAAAAAGAGTGTTTCAAACCTGCTCTATGAAAGGGACTGTTCAACACTGTGACTTCAATTGAAACATCCCAATGAAGCTTCTGAGAATGCTTCTGTCTAGAGTTTATATGAAGACAATCAAGTTTCCAACGAAATCCTCAAAGCTATCCAAATATCCTCTTGCAGATTTTACAAAAAGAGTGTTTCAAAACTGCTCTATCAAAAGAAAGCTTCAACACTGTTAGTTGAGGGCGCACATCACAAATAAGATTCTGAGAATGCTTCTGTCTAGTTTTCAGGGGAAGATATTTCCTTTTTCACCGTAGGCCTGAACGCGCTCCAAATGTCCACATCCAGATACTACAAAAAGAGTGTTTCAAACCTGCTCTATGAAAGGGAATGTTCAACTCTGTGACTTGAATGCAAACATCACAAAGAAGTTTCTGGGAATGCTGCTGTCTGCTTTTTATATGTAATCCCGTTTCCAACGAAATCCTCAAAGCTAGACAAATATCCACTTGCAGATTCCACAAAAAGAGTGTTTCAAAACTGCTCTCTCAAAAGAAAGGTTCAACTCTGTTAGCTGAGTAGATACATCATGAAAAAGTTTCTGACATTTCTTCTATCTAGCTTTTATTGGAAGGTATTTCCTTTTTCACCGTAGTCCTGAGATCTCTCCAAATGTCCACTTCCAGATACTACAAAAAGAGTGTTTCAAACCTGCTCTATGAAAGGGACTGTTCAACACTGTGACTTCAATTGAAACATCCCAATGAAGCTTCTGAGAATGCTTCTGTCTAGAGTTTATATGAAGACAATTCCGTTTACAACGAAATCCTCAAAGCTATCCAAATATCCTCTTGCAGATTTTACAAAAAGAGTGTTTCAAAACTGCTCTATCAAAAGAAAGCTTCAACACTGTTAGTTGAGGGCGCACATCACAAATAAGATTCTGAGAATGCTTCTGTCTAGTTTCCAGGGGAAGATATTTCCTTTTTCACCATAGGCCTGAAAGCGCTCAAAATGTCCACATCCAGATACTACAAAAAGAGTGTTTTAAACCTGCTCTATGAAAGGGAATGTTCAACTCTGTGACTTGAATGCAAACATCACAAAGAAGTTTCTGGGAATGCTGCTGTCTGCTTTTTATATGTAATCCCGTTTCCAACGAAATCCTCAAAGCTAGACAAATATCCACTTGCAGATTCCACAAAATGAGTGTTTCAAAACTGCTCTACCAAAAGAAAGCTTCAACACTGTTAGTTGAGGGCGCACATCACAAATAAGTTTCTGAGAATGCTTCTGTCTAGTTTTCAGGGGAAGATATTTCCTTTTTCACCATAGGCCTGAAAGCGCTCCAAATGTCCACATACAGATACTACAAAAAGAGTGTTTCAAACCTGCTGTATGAAAGGGAATGTTCAACTCTGTGACTTGAATGCAAACATCACAAAGAAATTTCTGGGAATGCTGCTGTCTGCTTTTTATATGTAATCCCGTTTCCAACGAAATCCTCAAAGCTAGACAAATATCCACTTGCAGATTCCACAAAAAGAGTGTTTCAAAACTGCTCTCTCAAAAGAAAGGTTCAACTCTGTTAGCTGAGTAGATACATCATGAAAAAGTTTCTGACATTGCTTCTATCTAGCTTTTATTGGAAGATATTTCCTTTATCACCGTATTCCTGAGATCTCTCCAAATGTCCACTTCCAGATACTACAAAAAGAGTGTTTCAAACCTGCTCTATGAAAGGGACTGTTCAACACTGTGACTTCAATTGAAACATCCCAATGAAGCTTCTGAGAATGCTTCTGTCTAGAGTTTATATGAAGACAATCCCGTTTCCAAAGAAATCCTCAAAGCTACCCAAATATCCTCTTGCAGATTTTACAAAAAGAGTGTTTCAAAACTGCTCTATCAAAAGAAAGCTTCAACACTGTTAGTTGAGGGCGCACATCACAAATAAGATTCTGAGAATGCTTCTGTCTAGTTTTCAGGGGAAGATATTTCCTTTTTCACCATAGGCCTGAAAGCGCTCCAAATGTCCACATCCAGATACTACAAAAAGAGTGTTTCAAACCTGCTCTATGAAAGGGAATGTTCAACTCTGTGACTTGAATGCAAACATCACAAAGAAGTTTCTGGGAATGCTGCTGTCTGCTTTTTATATGTAATCCCGTTTCCAACGAAATCCTCAAAGCTAGACAAATATCCACTTGCAGATTCCACAAAAAGAGTGTTTCAAAACTGCTCTATCAAAAGAAAGCTTCAACACTGTTAGTTGAGGGCGCACATCACAAATAAGTTTCTGAGAATGCTTCTGTCTAGTTTTCAGGGGAAGATATTTCCTTTTTCACCATAGGCCTGAAAGCGCTCCAAATGTCCACATCCAGATACTACAAAAAGAGTGTTTCAAACCTGCTCTATGAAAGGGACTGTTCAACACTGTGACTTCAATTGAAACATCCCAATGAAGCTTCTGAGAATGCTTCTGTCTAGAGTTTATATGAAGACAATCCCGTTTCCAAAGAAATCCTCAAAGCTATCCAAATATCCTCTTGCAGATTTTACAAAAAGAGTGTTTCAAAACTGCTCTATCAAAAGAAAGCTTCAACACTGTTAGTTGAGGGCGCACATCACAAATAAGATTCTGAGAATGCTTCTGTCTAGTTTTCAGGGGAAGATATTTCCTTTTTCACCATAGGCCTGAAAGCGCTCCAAATGTCCACATCCAGATACTACAGAAAGAGTGTTTCAAACCTGCTCTATGAAAGGGAATGTTCAACTCTGTGACTTGAATGCAAACATCACAAAGAAGTTTCTGGGAATGCTGCTGTCTGCTTTTTATATGTAATCCCGTTTCCAACGAAATCCTCAAAGCTAGACAAATATCCACTTGCAGATTCCACAAAAAGAGTGTTTCAAAACTGCTCTCTCAAAAGAAAGGTTCAACTCTGTTAGCTGAGTAGATACATCATGAAAAAGTTTCTGACATTGCTTCTATCTAGCTTTTATTGGAAGATATTTCCTTTATCACCGTATTCCTGAGATCTCTCCAAATGTCCACTTCCAGATACTACAAAAAGAGTGTTTCAAACCTGCTCTATGAAAGGGACTGTTCAACACTGTGACTTCAGTTGAAACATCCCAATGAAGCTTCTGAGAATGCTTCTGTCTAGAGTTTATATGAAGACAATCCCGTTTCCAACGAAATCCTCAAAGCTATCCAAATATCCACTTGCAGATTTTACAAAAAGAGTGTTTCAAAACTGCTCTATCAAAAGAAAGCTTCAACACTGTTAGTTGAGGGCCCACATCACAAATAAGATTCTGAGAATGCTTCTGTCTAGTTTTCAGGGGAAGATATTTCCTTTTTCACCAAAGGCCTGAAAGCGCTCCAAATGTCCACATCCAGATACTACAAAAAGAGTGTTTCAAACCTGCTCTATGAAAGGGACTGTTCAACACTGTGACTTCAATTGAAACATCCCAATGAAGCTTCTGAGAATGCTTCTGTCTAGAGTTTATATGAAGACAATCCCGTTTCCAATGAAATCCTCAAAGCTATCCAAATATCCTCTTGCAGATTTTACAAAAAGAGTGTTTCAAAGCTGCTCTATCAAAAGAAAGCTTCAACACTGTTAGTTGAGGGCGCACAACACAAATAAGATGCTGAGAATGCTTCTGTCTAGTTTTCAGGGGAAGATATTTCCTTTTTCACCATAGGCCTGAAAGTGCTCCAAATGTCCACATCCAGATACTACAAAAAGAGTGTTTCAAACCTGCTCTATGAAAGGGAATGTTCAACTCTGTGACTTGAATGCAAACTTCACAAAGAAGTTTCTGGGAATGCTGCTGTCTGCTTTTTATATGTAATCCCGTTTCCAACGAAATCCTCAAAGCTAGACAAATATCCACTTGCAGATTCCACAAAAAGAGTGTTTCAAAACTGCTCTCTCAAAGGAAGGTTCAACTCTGTTAGCTGAGTAGATACATCATGAAAAAGTTTCTGACATTGCTTCTATGTAGCTTTTATTGGAAGATATTTCCTTTTTCACCGTAGTCCTGAGGGCGCTCCAAATGTCCACTTCCAGATACTACAAAAAGAGTGTTTCAAACCTGCTCTATGAAAGGGACTGTTCAACACTGTGACTTCAATTGAAACATCCCAATGAAGCTTCTGAGAATGCTTCTGTCTAGAGTTTATATGAAGACAATCCCGTTTCCAACGAAATCCTCAAAGCTATCCAAATATCCTCTTGCAGATTTTACAAAAAGAGTGTTTCAAAACTGCTCTATCAAAAGAAAGCTTCAACACTGTTAGTTGAGGGCGCACATCACAAATAAATTTCTGAGAATGCTTCTGTCTACTTTTCAGGGGAAGATATTTCCTTTTTCACCATAGGCCTGAAAGCGCTCCAAATGTCCACATCCAGATACTACAAAAAGAGTGTTTCAAACCTGCTCTATGAAAGGGAATGTTCAACTCTGTGACTTGAATGCAAACATCACAAAGAAGTTTCTGGGAATGCTGCTGCCTGCTTTTTATATGTAATCCCGTTTCCAACGAAATCCTCAAAGCTAGACAAGTATCCACTTGCAGATTCCACAAAAAGAGTGTTTCAAAACTGCTCTCTCAAAAGAAAGGTTCAACTCTGTTAGCTGAGTAGATACATCATGAAAAAGTTTCTGACATTGCTTCCATCTAGCTTTTATTGGAAGATATTTCCTTTTTCACCGCAGTCCTGAGAGCGCTCCAAATGTCCACTTCAAGATACTACAAAAAGAGTGTTTCAAACCTGCTCTATGAAAGGGACTGTTCAACACTGTGAATTCAATTGAAACATCCCAATGAAGCTTCTGAGAATGCTTCTGTCTAGAGTTTATATGAAGACAATCCCGTTACCAATTAAATCCTCAAAGCTATCCAAATATCCTCTTGCAGATTTTACAAAAAGAGTGTTTCAAAACTGCTCTATCAAAAGAAAGCTTCAACACTGTTAGTTGAGGGCGCACATCACAAATAAGATTCTGAGAATGCTTCTGTCTAGTTTTCAGGGGAAGATATTTCCTTTTTCACCATAGGCCTGAAAGCGCTCCAAATGTCCACATCCAGATACTACAAAAAGAGTGTTTCAAACCTGCTCTATGAAAGGGAATGTTCAACTCTGTGACTTGAATGCAAACATCACAAAGAAGTTACTGGGAATGCTGCTGTCTGCTTTTTATATGTAATCCCGTTTCCAACGAAATCCTCAAAGCTAGACAAATATCCACTTGCAGATTCCACAAAAAGAGTGTTTCAAAACTGCTCTCTCAAAAGAAAGGTTCAACTCTGTTAGCTGAGTAGATACATCATGAAAAAGTTTCTGACATTGCTTCTATCTAGCTTTTATTGGAAGATATTTCCTTTTTCACCGTAGTCCTGAGATCTCTCCAAATGTCCACTTCCAGATACTACAAAAAGAGTGTTTCAAACCTGCTCTATGAAAGGGACTGTTCAACACTGTGACTTCAATTGAAACATCCCAATGAAGCTTCTGAGAATGCTTCTGTCTAGAGTTTATATGAAGACAGTCCCGTTTCCAATGAAATCCTCAAAGCTATCCAAATATCCTCTTGCAGATTTTACAAAAAGTGTGTTTCAAAACTGCTCTATCAAAAGAAAGCTTCAACACTGTTAGTTGAGGGCGCACATCACAAATAAGATTCTGAGAATGCTTCTGTCTAGTTTTCAGGAGAAGATATTTCCTTTTTCACCATAGGCCTGAAAGCGCTCCAAATGTCCACATCCAGATTCTATAAAAAGAGTGTTTCAAACCTGCTCTCTGAAAGGGAATGTTCAACTCTGTGACTTGAATGCAAACATCACAAAGAAGTTTCTGGGAATGCTGCTGTCTGCTTTTTATATGTAATCCCGTTTCCAACGAAATCCTCAAAGCTAGACAAGTATCCAGTTGCAGATTCCACAAAAAGAGTGTTTCAAAACTGCTCTCTCAAAAGAAAGGTTCAACTCTGTTAGCTGAGTAGATACATCATGAAAAAGTTTCTGACATTGCTTCTATCTAGCTTTTATTGGAAGATATTTCCTTTTTCACCGCAGTCCTGAGAGCGCTCCAAATGTCCACTTCCAGATACTACAAAAAGAGTGTTTCAAACCTGCTCTATGAAAGGGACTGTTCAACACTGTGACTTCAATTGAAACATCCCAATGAAGCTTCTGAGAATGCTTCTGTCTAGAGTTTATATGAAGACAATCCCGTTTCCAATGAAATCCTCAAAGCTATCCAAATATCCTCTTGCAGATTTTACAAAAAGAGTGTTTCAAAACTGCTCTATCAAAAGAAAGCTTCAACACTGTTAGTTGAGGGCGCACATCACAAATAAGATTCTGAGAATGCTTCTGTCTACTTTTCAGGGGAAGATATTTCCTTTTTCACCATAGGCCTGAAAGCGCTCCAAATGTCCACATACAGATACTACAAAAATAGTGTTTCAAAGCTGCTCTATGAAAGGGAATGTTCAACTCTGTGACTTGAATGCAAACTTCACAAAGAAGTTTCTGGGAATGCTGCTGTCTGCTTTTTATATGTAATCCCGTTTCCAACGAAATCCTCAAAGCTAGACAAATATCCACTTGCAGATTCCACAAAAAGAGTGTTTCAAAACTGCTCTCTCAAAGGAAGGTTCAACTCTGTTAGCTGAGTAGATACATCATGAAAAAGTTTCTGACATTGCTTCTATGTAGCTTTTATTGGAAGATATTTCCTTTTTCACCGTAGTCCTGAGGGCGCTCCAAATGTCCACTTCCAGATACTACAAAAAGAGTGTTTCAAACCTGCTCTATGAAAGGGACTGTTCAACACTGTGACTTCAATTGAAACATCCCAATGAAGCTTCTGAGAATGCTTCTGTCTAGAGTTTATATGAAGACAATCCCGTTTCCAACGAAATCCTCAAAGCTATCCAAATATCCTCTTGCAGATTTTACAAAAAGAGTGTTTCAAAACTGCTCTATCAAAAGAAAGCTTCAACACTGTTAGTTGAGGGCGCACATCACAAATAAATTTCTGAGAATGCTTCTGTCTACTTTTCAGGGGAAGATATTTCCTTTTTCACCATAGGCCTGAAAGCGCTCCAAATGTCCACATCCAGATACTACAAAAAGAGTGTTTCAAACCTGCTCTATGAAAGGGAATGTTCAACTCTGTGACTTGAATGCAAACATCACAAAGAAGTTTCTGGGAATGCTGCTGCCTGCTTTTTATATGTAATCCCGTTTCCAACGAAATCCTCAAAGCTAGACAAGTATCCACTTGCAGATTCCACAAAAAGAGTGTTTCAAAACTGCTCTCTCAAAAGAAAGGTTCAACTCTGTTAGCTGAGTAGATACATCATGAAAAAGTTTCTGACATTGCTTCCATCTAGCTTTTATTGGAAGATATTTCCTTTTTCACCGCAGTCCTGAGAGCGCTCCAAATGTCCACTTCAAGATACTACAAAAAGAGTGTTTCAAACCTGCTCTATGAAAGGGACTGTTCAACACTGTGAATTCAATTGAAACATCCCAATGAAGCTTCTGAGAATGCTTCTGTCTAGAGTTTATATGAAGACAATCCCGTTACCAATTAAATCCTCAAAGCTATCCAAATATCCTCTTGCAGATTTTACAAAAAGAGTGTTTCAAAACTGCTCTATCAAAAGAAAGCTTCAACACTGTTAGTTGAGGGCGCACATCACAAATAAGATTCTGAGAATGCTTCTGTCTAGTTTTCAGGGGAAGATATTTCCTTTTTCACCATAGGCCTGAAAGCGCTCCAAATGTCCACATCCAGATACTACAAAAAGAGTGTTTCAAACCTGCTCTATGAAAGGGAATGTTCAACTCTGTGACTTGAATGCAAACATCACAAAGAAGTTACTGGGAATGCTGCTGTCTGCTTTTTATATGTAATCCCGTTTCCAACGAAATCCTCAAAGCTAGACAAATATCCACTTGCAGATTCCACAAAAAGAGTGTTTCAAAACTGCTCTCTCAAAAGAAAGGTTCAACTCTGTTAGCTGAGTAGATACATCATGAAAAAGTTTCTGACATTGCTTCTATCTAGCTTTTATTGGAAGATATTTCCTTTTTCACCGTAGTCCTGAGATCTCTCCAAATGTCCACTTCCAGATACTACAAAAAGAGTGTTTCAAACCTGCTCTATGAAAGGGACTGTTCAACACTGTGACTTCAATTGAAACATCCCAATGAAGCTTCTGAGAATGCTTCTGTCTAGAGTTTATATGAAGACAGTCCCGTTTCCAATGAAATCCTCAAAGCTATCCAAATATCCTCTTGCAGATTTTACAAAAAGTGTGTTTCAAAACTGCTCTATCAAAAGAAAGCTTCAACACTGTTAGTTGAGGGCGCACATCACAAATAAGATTCTGAGAATGCTTCTGTCTAGTTTTCAGGAGAAGATATTTCCTTTTTCACCATAGGCCTGAAAGCGCTCCAAATGTCCACATCCAGATTCTATAAAAAGAGTGTTTCAAACCTGCTCTCTGAAAGGGAATGTTCAACTCTGTGACTTGAATGCAAACATCACAAAGAAGTTTCTGGGAATGCTGCTGTCTGCTTTTTATATGTAATCCCGTTTCCAACGAAATCCTCAAAGCTAGACAAGTATCCAGTTGCAGATTCCACAAAAAGAGTGTTTCAAAACTGCTCTCTCAAAAGAAAGGTTCAACTCTGTTAGCTGAGTAGATACATCATGAAAAAGTTTCTGACATTGCTTCTATCTAGCTTTTATTGGAAGATATTTCGTTTTTCACCGCAGTCCTGAGAGCGCTCCAAATGTCCACTTCCAGATACTACAAAAAGAGTGTTTCAAACCTGCTCTATGAAAGGGACTGTTCAACACTGTGACTTCAATTGAAACATCCCAATGAAGCTTCTGAGAATGCTTCTGTCTAGAGTTTATATGAAGACAATCCCGTTTCCAATGAAATCCTCAAAGCTATCCAAATATCCTCTTGCAGATTTTACAAAAAGAGTGTTTCAAAACTGCTCTATCAAAAGAAAGCTTCAACACTGTTAGTTGAGGGCGCACATCACAAATAAGATTCTGAGAATGCTTCTGTCTACTTTTCAGGGGAAGATATTTCCTTTTTCACCATAGGCCTGAAAGCGCTCCAAATGTCCACATACAGATACTACAAAAATAGTGTTTCAAACCTGCTCTATGAAAGGGAATGTTCAACTCTGTGACTTGAATGCAAACTTCACAAAGAAGTTTCTGGGAATGCTGCTGTCTGCTTTTTATATGTAATCCCGTTTCCAACGAAATCCTCAAAGCTAGACAAATATCCACTTGCAGATTCCACAAAAAGAGTGTTTCAAAACTGCTCTCTCAAAGGAAGGTTCAACTCTATTAGCTGAGTAGATACATCATGAAAAAGTTTCTGACATTGCTTCTATGTAGCTTTTATTGGAAGATATTTCCTTTTTCACCGTAGTCCTGAGGGCGCTCCAAATGTCCACTTCCAGATACTACAAAAAGAGTGTTTCAAACCTGCTCTATGAAAGGGACTGTTCAACACTGTGACTTCAATTGAAACATCCCAATGAAGCTTCTGAGAATGCTTCTGTCTAGAGTTTATATGAAGACAATCCCGTTTCCAACGAAATCCTCAAAGCTATCCAAATATCCTCTTGCAGATTTTACAAAAAGAGTGTTTCAAAACTGCTCTATCAAAAGAAAGCTTCAACACTGTTAGTTGAGGGCGCACATCACAAATAAATTTCTGAGAATGCTTCTGTCTACTTTTCAGGGGAAGATATTTCCTTTTTCACCATAGGCCTGAAAGCGCTCCAAATGTCCACATCCAGATACTACAAAAAGAGTGTTTCAAACCTGCTCTATGAAAGGGAATGTTCAACTCTGTGACTTGAATGCAAACATCACAAAGAAGTTTCTGGGAATGCTGCTGCCTGCTTTTTATATGTAATCCCGTTTCCAACGAAATCCTCAAAGCTAGACAAGTATCCACTTGCAGATTCCACAAAAAGAGTGTTTCAAAACTGCTCTCTCAAAAGAAAGGTTCAACTCTGTTAGCTGAGTAGATACATCATGAAAAAGTTTCTGACATTGCTTCCATCTAGCTTTTATTGGAAGATATTTCCTTTTTCACCGCAGTCCTGAGAGCGCTCCAAATGTCCACTTCAAGATACTACAAAAAGAGTGTTTCAAACCTGCTCTATGAAAGGGACTGTTCAACACTGTGAATTCAATTGAAACATCCCAATGAAGCTTCTGAGAATGCTTCTGTCTAGAGTTTATATGAAGACAATCCCGTTACCAATTAAATCCTCAAAGCTATCCAAATATCCTCTTGCAGATTTTACAAAAAGAGTGTTTCAAAACTGCTCTATCAAAAGAAAGCTTCAACACTGTTAGTTGAGGGCGCACATCACAAATAAGATTCTGAGAATGCTTCTGTCTAGTTTTCAGGGGAAGATATTTCCTTTTTCACCATAGGCCTGAAAGCGCTCCAAATGTCCACATCCAGATACTACAAAAAGAGTGTTTCAAACCTGCTCTATGAAAGGGAATGTTCAACTCTGTGACTTGAATGCAAACATCACAAAGAAGTTACTGGGAATGCTGCTGTCTGCTTTTTATATGTAATCCCGTTTCCAACGAAATCCTCAAAGCTAGACAAATATCCACTTGCAGATTCCACAAAAAGAGTGTTTCAAAACTGCTCTCTCAAAAGAAAGGTTCAACTCTGTTAGCTGAGTAGATACATCATGAAAAAGTTTCTGACATTGCTTCTATCTAGCTTTTATTGGAAGATATTTCCTTTTTCACCGTAGTCCTGAGATCTCTCCAAATGTCCACTTCCAGATACTACAAAAAGAGTGTTTCAAACCTGCTCTATGAAAGGGACTGTTCAACACTGTGACTTCAATTGAAACATCCCAATGAAGCTTCTGAGAATGCTTCTGTCTAGAGTTTATATGAAGACAGTCCCGTTTCCAATGAAATCCTCAAAGCTATCCAAATATCCTCTTGCAGATTTTACAAAAAGTGTGTTTCAAAACTGCTCTATCAAAAGAAAGCTTCAACACTGTTAGTTGAGGGCGCACATCACAAATAAGATTCTGAGAATGCTTCTGTCTAGTTTTCAGGAGAAGATATTTCCTTTTTCACCATAGGCCTGAAAGCGCTCCAAATGTCCACATCCAGATTCTATAAAAAGAGTGTTTCAAACCTGCTCTCTGAAAGGGAATGTTCAACTCTGTGACTTGAATGCAAACATCACAAAGAAGATTCTGGGAATGCTGCTGTCTGCTTTTTATATGTAATCCCGTTTCCAACGAAATCCTCAAAGCTAGACAAATATCCACTTGCAGATTCCACAAAAAGAGTGTTTCAAAACTGCTCTCTCAAAGGAAAGGTTCAACTCTGTTAGCTGAGTAGATACATCATGAAAAAGTTTCTGACATTGCTTCTATGTAGCTTTTATTAGAAGATATTTCCTTTTTCACCGTAGTCCTGAGAGCGCTCCAAATGTCCACTTCCAGATACTACAAAAAGAGTGATTCAAACCTGCTCTATGAAAGGGAGTGTTCAACACTGTGACTTCAATTGAAACATCCCAATGAAGCTTCTGAGAATGCTTCTGTCTAGAGTTTATATGAAGACAATCCCGTTTCCAACGAAATCCTCAAAGCTATCCAAATATCCTCTTGCAGATTTTACAAAAAGAGTGTTTCAAAACTGCTCTATCAAAAGAAAGCTTCAACACTGTTAGTTGAGGGCGCACATCACAAATAAGTTTCTGAGAATGCTTCTGTCTAGTTTTCAGGGGAAGATATTTCCTTTTTCACCATAGGCCTGAAAGCGCTCCAAATGTCCACATCCAGATACTACAAAAAGAGTGTTTCAAACCTGCTCTATGAAAGGGAATGTTCATCTCTGTGACTTGAATGCAAACATCACAAAGAAGTTACTGGGAATGCTGCTGTCTGCTTTTTATATGTAATCCCGTTTCCAACGAAATCCTCAAAGCTAGACAAATTTCCACTTGCAGATTCCACAAAAAGAGTGTTTCAAAACTGCTCTCTCAAAGGAAAGTTTCAACTCTGTTAGCTGAGTAGATACATCATGAAAAAGTTTCTGACATTGCTTCTATGTAGCTTTTATTGGAAGATAATTCCTTTTTCACCATAGTTCTGAGAGCGCTCCAAATGTCCACTTCCAGATACTACAAAAAGAGTGTTTCAAACCTGCTCTATGAAAGGGACTGTTCAACACTGTGACTTCAATTGAAACATCCCAATGAAGCTTCTGAGAATGCTTCTGTCTAGAGTTTATATGATGACAATCCCGTTTCCAACGAAATCCTCAATGCTATCCAAATATCCTCTTGCAGATATTACAAAAAGAGTGTTTCAAAACTGCTCTATCAAAAGAAAGGTTCAACACTGTTAGTTGAGGGCGCACATCACAAATAAGTTTCTGAGAATGCTTCTGTCTAGTTTTCAGGGGAAGATATTTCCTTTTTCACCATAGGCCTGAAAGCGCTCCAAATGTCCACATCCAGATACTACAAAAAGAGTGTTTCAAACCTGCTCTATGAAAGGGAATGTTCAACTCTGTGACTTGAATGCAAACATCACAAAGAAGTTACTGGGAATGCTGTTGTCTGCTTTTTATACGTAATCCCGTTTCCAACGAAATCCTCAAAGCTAGACAAATATCCACTTGCAGATTCCACAAAAAGAGTGTTTCAAAACTGCTCTCTCAAAAGAAAGGTTCAACTCTGTTAGCTGAGTAGATACATCATGAAAAAGTTTCTGACATTGCTTCTATCTAGCTTTTATTGGAAGATATTTCCTTTTTCACCGTAGTCCTGAGATCTCTCCAAATGTCCACTTCCAGATACTACAAAAAGAGTGTTTCAAACCTGCTCTATGAAAGGGACTGTTCAACACTGTGACTTCAATTGAAACATCCCAATGAAGCTTCTGAGAATGCTTCTGTCTAGAGTTTATATGAAGACAATCCCGTTTCCAATGAAATCCTCAAAGCTATCCAAATATCCTCTTGCAGATTTTACAAAAAGTGTGTTTCAAAACTGCTCTATCAAAAGAAAGCTTCAACACTGTTAGTTGAGGGCGCACATCACAAATAAGATTCTGAGAATGCTTCTGTCTAGTTTTCAGGAGAAGATATTTCCTTTTTCACCATAGGCCTGAAAGCGCTCCAAATGTCCACATCCAGATTCTATAAAAAGAGTGTTTCAAACCTGCTCTCTGAAAGGGAATGTTCAACTCTGTGACTTGAATGCAAACACCACAAACAAGATTCTGGGAATGCTGCTGTCTGCTTTTTATATGTAATCCCGTTTCCAACGAAATCCTCAAAGCTAGACAAATGTCCACTTGCAGATTCCATAAAAAGAGTGTTTCAAAACTGCTTTATCAAAAGAAAGGTTCAACTCTGTTAGCTGAGTAGATACATCATGAAAAATTTTCTGACATTGCTTCTATCTAGCTTTTATTGGAAGATATTTCCTTTGTCACCGTATTCCTGAGATCTCTCCAAATGTCCACTTCCAGATACTACAAAAAGAGTGTTTCAAACCTGCTCTATGAAAGGGACTGTTCAACACTGTGACTTCAATTGAAACATCCCAATGAAGCTTCTGAGAATGCTTCTGTCTAGAGTTTATATGAAGACAATCCCGTTTCCAACGAAATCCTCAAAGCTATCCAAATATCCTCTTGCAGATTTTACAAAAAGAGTGTTTCAAAACTGCTCTATCAAAAGAAAGCTTCAACACTGTTAGTTGAGGGCGCACATCACAAATAAGATTTTGAGAATGCTTCTGTCTAGTTTTCAGGGGAAGATATTTCCTTTTTCACCATAGGCCTGAAAGCGCTCCAAATGTCCACATCCAGATACTATAAAAAGAGTGTTTCAAACCTGCTCTCTGAAAGGGAATGTTCAACTCTGTGTCTTGAATGCAAACATCACAAACAAGATTCTGGGAATGCTGCTGTCTGCTTTTTATTTGTAATCCCGTTTCCAACGAAATCCTCAAAGCTAGACAAATATCCACTTGCAGATTCCACAAAAAGAGTGTTTCAAAACTGCTCTATCAAAAGAAAGCTTCAACACTGTTAGTTGAGGGCGCACATCACAAATAAGTTTCTGAGAATGCTTCTGTCTAGTTTTCAGGGGAAGATATTTCCTTTTTCACCTTAGGCCTGAAAGCGCTCCAAATGTCCACATCCAGATACTACAAAAAGAGTGTTTCAAACCTGCTCTATGAAAGGGAATGTTCCACTCTGTGACTTGAATGCAAACATCACAAAGAAGTTTCTGGGAATGCTGCTGTCTGCTTTTTATATGTAATCCCGTTTCCAACGAAATCCTCAAAGCTAGACAAATATCCACTTGTAGATTCCACAAAAAGAGTGTTTCAAAACTGCTCTATCAAAAGAAAGCTTCAACACTGTTAGTTGAGGGCGCACATCACAAATAAGTTTCTGAGAATGCTTCTGTCTAGTTTTCAGGGGAAGATATTTCCTTTTAAACCATAGGCCTGAAAGCGCTCCAAATGTCCACTTCCAGATACTACAAAAAGAGTGTTTCAAACCTGCTCTATGAAAGGGACTGTTCAACACTGTGACTTCAATTGAAACATCCCAATGAAGCTTCTGAGAATGCTTCTGTCTAGAGTTTATATGGAGACAATCCCGTTTCCAACGAAATCCTCAAAGCTATCCAAATATCCTCTTGCAGATTTTACAAAAAGAGTGTTTCAAAACTGCTCTATCAAAAGAAAGCTTCAACACTGTTAGTTGAGGGCGCACATCACAAATAAGATTCTGAGAATGCTTCTGTCTAGTTTTCAGGGGAAGATATTTCCTTTTTCACCATAGGCCTGAAAGCGCTCCAAATGTCCACATCCAGATACTACAAAAAGAGTGTTTCAAACCTGCTCTATGAAAGAGAATGTTCAACTCTGTGACTTGAATGCAAACTTCACAAAGAAGTTTCTGGGAATGCTGCTGTCTGCTTTTTATATGTAATCCCGTTTCCAACGAAATCCTCAAAGCTAGACAAATATCCACTTGCAGATTCCACAAAAAGAGTGTTTCAAAACTGCTCTCTCAAAAGAAAGGTTCAACTCTGTTAGCTGAGTAGACACATGATGAAAAAGTTTCTGACATTGCTTCTATCTAGCTTTTATTGGAAGATATTTCCTTTTTCACCGTAGTCCTGAGATCTCTCAAAATGTCCACTTCCAGATACTACAAAAAGAGTGTTTCAAACCTGCTCTATGAAAGGGACTGTTCAACACTGTGACTTCAATTGAAACATCCCAATGAAGCTTCTGAGAATGCTTCTCTCTAGAGTTTATATGAAGACAGTCCCGTTTCCAACGAAATCCTCAAAGCTATCCAAATATCCTCTTGCAGATTTTACAAAAAGAGTGTTTCAAAACTGCTCTATCAAAAGAAAGCTTCAACACTGTTAGTTGAGGGCGGACATCGCAAATAAGATTCTGAGAATGCTTCTGTCTAGTTTTCAGGGGAAGATATTTCCTTTTTCACTATAGGCCTGAAAGCGCTCCAAATGTCCACATACCGATACTACAAAAAGAGTGTTTCAAACCTCCTCTATGAAATGGAATGTTCAACTCTGTGACTTGAATGCAAACTTCACAAAGAAGTTTCTGGGAATGCTGCTGGCTGCTTTTTATATGTAATCCCGTTTCCAACGAAATCCTCAAAGCTAGACAAATATCCACTTACAGATTCCACAAAAAGAGTGTTTCAAAACTGCTCTCTCAAAAGAAAGGTTCAACTCTGTTAGCTGAGTAGATACATCATGAAAAATTTTCTGACATTGCTTCTATCTAGCTTTTATTGGAAGATATTTACTTTGTCACCGTATTCCTGAGAGCGCTCCAAATGTCCACTTCCAGATACTACAAAAAGAGTGTTTCAAACCTGCTCTATGAAAGGGACTGATCAACACTGTACTTCAATTGAAACATCCCAATGAAGCTTCTGAGAATGCTTCTGTCTAGAGTTTATATGAAGACAATCCCGTTTCCAACGAAATCCTCAAAGCTATCCAAATATCCTCTTGCAGATTTTACAAAAAGACTGTTTCAAAACTGCTCTATCAAAAGAAAGCTTCAACACTGTTAGCTGAGGGCGCACATCAGAAATAAGATTCTGAGAATGCTTTTGTCTAGTTTTCAGGAGAAGATATTTCCTTTTTCACCATAGGCCTGAAAACGCTCCAAATGTCCACATCCAGATACTACAAAAAGAGTGTTTCAAACCTGCTCTATGAAAGGGAATGTTCAACTCTGTGACTTGAATGCAAACATCACAAAGAAGTTTCTGGGAATGCTGCTGTCTGCTTTTTATATGTAATCCCGTTTCCAACGAAATCCTCAAAGCTAGACAAATATCCACTTGCAGATTCCACAAAAAGAGTGTTTCAAAACTGCTCTCTCAAAAGAAAGGTTCAACTCTGTTAGCTGAGTAGACACATCATGAAAAAGTTTCTGACATTGCTTCTATCTAGCTTTTATTGGAAGATATTTCCTTTTTCACCGTAGTCCTGAGAAAGCTCCAAATGTCTACTTCCAGATACTACAAAAAGTGTGTTTCAAACCTGCTCTATGAAAGGGACTGTTCAACACTGTGACTTCAATTGAAACATCCCAATGAAGCTTCTGAGAATGCTTCTGTCTAGAGTTTATATGAAGACAATCCCGTTTCCAACGAAATCCTCAAAGCTATCCAAATATCCTCTTGCAGATTTTACAAAAAGAGTGTTCCAAAACTGCTCTATCAAAAGAAAGCTTCAACACTGTTAGTTGAGGGCGCACATCACAAATAAGATTCTGAGAATGCTTCTGTCTAGTTTTCAGGGGAAGATATTTCGTTTTTCACCATAGGCCTGAAAGCGCTCCAAATGTCCACATCCAGATACTACAAAAAGAGTGTTTCAAACCTGCTCTATGAAAGGGAATGTTCAACTCTGTGACTTGAATGCAAACATCACAAAGAAGTTTCTGGGAATGCTGCTGTCTGCTTTTTATATGTAATCCCGTTTCCAACGAAATCCTCCAAGCTAGACAAATATCCACTTGCAGATTCCACAAAAAGAGTGTTTCAAAACTGCTCTATCAAAAGAAAGCTTCAACACTGTTAGTTGAGGGCGCACATCACAAATAAGTTTCTGAGAATGCTTCTGTCTAGTTTTCAGAGGAAGATATTTCCTTTTTCACCATAGGCCTGAAAGCGCTCCAAATGTCCACTTCCAGATACTACAAAAAGAGTGTTTCAAACCTGCTCTATGAAAGGGACTGTTCAACACTGTGACTTCAATTGAAACATCCCAATGAGGCTTCTGAGAATGCTTCTGTCTAGAGTTTATATGAAGACAATCCCGTTTCCAACGAAATCCTCAAAGCTATCCAAATATCCTCTTGCAGATTTTACAAAAAGAGTGTTTCAAAACTGCTCTATCAAAAGAAAGCTTCAACACTGTTAGTTGAGGGCGCACATCACAAATAAGATTCTGAGAATGCTTCTGTCTAGTTTTCAGGGGAAGATATTTCGTTTTTCACCATAGGCCTGAAAGCGCTCCAAATGTCCACATCCAGATACTACAAAAAGAGTGTTTCAAACCTGCTCTATGAAAGGGAATGTTCAACTCTGTGACTTGAATGTAAACATCACAAAGAAGTTACTGGGAATGCTGCTGTCTGCTTTTTATATTTAATCCCGTTTCCAACGAAATCCTCAAAGCTAGACAAATATCCACTTCCAGATTCCACAAAAAGAGTGTTTCAAAACTGCTCTCTCAAAAGAAAGTTTCAACTCTGTTAGCTGAGTAGATACATCATGAAAAAGTTTCTGACATTGCTTCTATGTAGCTTTTATTGGAAGATATTTCCTTTTTCACTGTAGTCCTGAGAGCGCTCCAAATGTCCACTTCCAGATACTACAAAAAGAGTGTTTCAAACCTGCTCTATGAAAGGGACTGTTCAACACTGTGACTTCAATTGAAACATCCCAATGAAGCTTCTGAGAATGCTTCTGTCTTGAGTTTATATGAAGAAAATCCCGTTTCCAATGAAATCCCCAAAGCTATCCAAATATCCTCTTGCAGATTTTACAAAAAGACTGTTTCAAAACTGCTCTATCAAAAGAAAGCTTCAACACTGTTAGCTGAGGGCGCACATCACAAATAAGATTCTGAAAATGCTTCTGTCTTGTTTTCAGGAGAAGATATTTCCTTTTTCACCATAGGCCTGAAAGCGCTCCAAATGTCCACATCCAGATACTATAAAAAGAGTGTTTCAAACCTGCTCTATGAAACGGAATGTTCAACTCTCGGACTTGAATGCAAACATCACAAAGAAGATTCTGAGAATGCTGCTGTCTGCTTTTTATATGTAATCCCGTTTCCAACGAAATCCTCAAAGCTAGACAAATATCCACTTGCAGATTCCACAAAAAGAGTGTTTCAAAACTGCTCTATCAAAAGAAAGCTTCAACACTGTTAGTTGAGGGCGCACATCACAAATAAGTTTCTGAGAATGCTTCTGTCTAGTTTTCAGGTGAAGATATTTCCTTTTTCATCATAGGCCTGAAAGCGCTCCAAATGTCCACATCCAGATACTACAAAAAGAGTGTTTCAAACCTGCTCTATGAAAGGGACTGTTCAACACTGTGACTTCAATTGAAACATCCCAATGAAGCTTCTGAGAATGCTTCTGTCTAGAGTTTATATGATGACAATCCCGTTTCCAACGAAATCCTCAATGCTATCCAAATATCCTCTTGCAGATATTACAAAAAGAGTGTTTCAAAACTGCTCTATCAAAAGAAAGGTTCAACACTGTTAGTTGAGGGCGCACATCACAAATAAGTTTCTGAGAATGCTTCTGTCTAGTTTTCAGGGGAAGATATTTCCTTTTTCACCATAGGCCTGAAAGCGCTCCAAATGTCCACATCCAGATACTACAAAAAGAGTGTTTCAAACCTGCTCTATGAAAGGGAATGTTCAACTCTGTGACTTGAATGCAAACATCACAAAGAAGTTACTGGGAATGCTGTTGTCTGCTTTTTATACGTAATCCCGTTTCCAACGAAATCCTCAAAGCTAGACAAATATCCACTTGCAGATTCCACAAAAAGAGTGTTTCAAAACTGCTCTCTCAAAAGAAAGGTTCAACTCTGTTAGCTGAGTAGATACATCATGAAAAAGTTTCTGACATTGCTTCTATCTAGCTTTTATTGGAAGATATTTCCTTTTTCACCGTAGTCCTGAGATCTCTCCAAATGTCCACTTCCAGATACTACAAAAAGAGTGTTTCAAACCTGCTCTATGAAAGGGACTGTTCAACACTGTGACTTCAATTGAAACATCCCAATGAAGCTTCTGAGAATGCTTCTGTCTAGAGTTTATATGAAGACAATCCCGTTTCCAATGAAATCCTCAAAGCTATCCAAATATCCTCTTGCAGATTTTACAAAAAGTGTGTTTCAAAACTGCTCTATCAAAAGAAAGCTTCAACACTGTTAGTTGAGGGCGCACATCACAAATAAGATTCTGAGAATGCTTCTGTCTAGTTTTCAGGAGAAGATATTTCCTTTTTCACCATAGGCCTGAAAGCGCTCCAAATGTCCACATCCAGATTCTATAAAAAGAGTGTTTCAAACCTGCTCTCTGAAAGGGAATGTTCAACTCTGTGACTTGAATGCAAACACCACAAACAAGATTCTGGGAATGCTGCTGTCTGCTTTTTATATGTAATCCCGTTTCCAACGAAATCCTCAAAGCTAGACAAATGTCCACTTGCAGATTCCATAAAAAGAGTGTTTCAAAACTGCTTTATCAAAAGAAAGGTTCAACTCTGTTAGCTGAGTAGATACATCATGAAAAATTTTCTGACATTGCTTCTATCTAGCTTTTATTGGAAGATATTTCCTTTGTCACCGTATTCCTGAGATCTCTCCAAATGTCCACTTCCAGATACTACAAAAAGAGTGTTTCAAACCTGCTCTATGAAAGGGACTGTTCAACACTGTGACTTCAATTGAAACATCCCAATGAAGCTTCTGAGAATGCTTCTGTCTAGAGTTTATATGAAGACAATCCCGTTTCCAACGAAATCCTCAAAGCTATCCAAATATCCTCTTGCAGATTTTACAAAAAGAGTGTTTCAAAACTGCTCTATCAAAAGAAAGCTTCAACACTGTTAGTTGAGGGCGCACATCACAAATAAGATTTTGAGAATGCTTCTGTCTAGTTTTCAGGGGAAGATATTTCCTTTTTCACCATAGGCCTGAAAGCGCTCCAAATGTCCACATCCAGATACTATAAAAAGAGTGTTTCAAACCTGCTCTCTGAAAGGGAATGTTCAACTCTGTGTCTTGAATGCAAACATCACAAACAAGATTCTGGGAATGCTGCTGTCTGCTTTTTATTTGTAATCCCGTTTCCAACGAAATCCTCAAAGCTAGACAAATATCCACTTGCAGATTCCACAAAAAGAGTGTTTCAAAACTGCTCTATCAAAAGAAAGCTTCAACACTGTTAGTTGAGGGCGCACATCACAAATAAGTTTCTGAGAATGCTTCTGTCTAGTTTTCAGGGGAAGATATTTCCTTTTTCACCTTAGGCCTGAAAGCGCTCCAAATGTCCACATCCAGATACTACAAAAAGAGTGTTTCAAACCTGCTCTATGAAAGGGAATGTTCCACTCTGTGACTTGAATGCAAACATCACAAAGAAGTTTCTGGGAATGCTGCTGTCTGCTTTTTATATGTAATCCCGTTTCCAACGAAATCCTCAAAGCTAGACAAATATCCACTTGTAGATTCCACAAAAAGAGTGTTTCAAAACTGCTCTATCAAAAGAAAGCTTCAACACTGTTAGTTGAGGGCGCACATCACAAATAAGTTTCTGAGAATGCTTCTGTCTAGTTTTCAGGGGAAGATATTTCCTTTTAAACCATAGGCCTGAAAGCGCTCCAAATGTCCACTTCCAGATACTACAAAAAGAGTGTTTCAAACCTGCTCTATGAAAGGGACTGTTCAACACTGTGACTTCAATTGAAACATCCCAATGAAGCTTCTGAGAATGCTTCTGTCTAGAGTTTATATGGAGACAATCCCGTTTCCAACGAAATCCTCAAAGCTATCCAAATATCCTCTTGCAGATTTTACAAAAAGAGTGTTTCAAAACTGCTCTATCAAAAGAAAGCTTCAACACTGTTAGTTGAGGGCGCACATCACAAATAAGATTCTGAGAATGCTTTTGTCTAGTTTTCAGGAGAAGATATTTCCTTTTTCACCATAGGCCTGAAAACGCTCCAAATGTCCACATCCAGATACTACAAAAAGAGTGTTTCAAACCTGCTCTATGAAAGGGAATGTTCAACTCTGTGACTTGAATGCAAACATCACAAAGAAGTTTCTGGGAATGCTGCTGTCTGCTTTTTATATGTAATCCCGTTTCCAACGAAATCCTCAAAGCTAGACAAATATCCACTTGCAGATTCCACAAAAAGAGTGTTTCAAAACTGCTCTCTCAAAAGAAAGGTTCAACTCTGTTAGCTGAGTAGACACATCATGAAAAAGTTTCTGACATTGCTTCTATCTAGCTTTTATTGGAAGATATTTCCTTTTTCACCGTAGTCCTGAGAAAGCTCCAAATGTCTACTTCCAGATACTACAAAAAGTGTGTTTCAAACCTGCTCTATGAAAGGGACTGTTCAACACTGTGACTTCAATTGAAACATCCCAATGAAGCTTCTGAGAATGCTTCTGTCTAGAGTTTATATGAAGACAATCCCGTTTCCAACGAAATCCTCAAAGCTATCCAAATATCCTCTTGCAGATTTTACAAAAAGAGTGTTCCAAAACTGCTCTATCAAAAGAAAGCTTCAACACTGTTAGTTGAGGGCGCACATCACAAATAAGATTCTGAGAATGCTTCTGTCTAGTTTTCAGGGGAAGATATTTCGTTTTTCACCATAGGCCTGAAAGCGCTCCAAATGTCCACATCCAGATACTACAAAAAGAGTGTTTCAAACCTGCTCTATGAAAGGGAATGTTCAACTCTGTGACTTGAATGCAAACATCACAAAGAAGTTTCTGGGAATGCTGCTGTCTGCTTTTTATATGTAATCCCGTTTCCAACGAAATCCTCCAAGCTAGACAAATATCCACTTGCAGATTCCACAAAAAGAGTGTTTCAAAACTGCTCTATCAAAAGAAAGCTTCAACACTGTTAGTTGAGGGCGCACATCACAAATAAGTTTCTGAGAATGCTTCTGTCTAGTTTTCAGAGGAAGATATTTCCTTTTTCACCATAGGCCTGAAAGCGCTCCAAATGTCCACTTCCAGATACTACAAAAAGAGTGTTTCAAACCTGCTCTATGAAAGGGACTGTTCAACACTGTGACTTCAATTGAAACATCCCAATGAGGCTTCTGAGAATGCTTCTGTCTAGAGTTTATATGAAGACAATCCCGTTTCCAACGAAATCCTCAAAGCTATCCAAATATCCTCTTGCAGATTTTACAAAAAGAGTGTTTCAAAACTGCTCTATCAAAAGAAAGCTTCAACACTGTTAGTTGAGGGCGCACATCACAAATAAGATTCTGAGAATGCTTCTGTCTAGTTTTCAGGGGAAGATATTTCGTTTTTCACCATAGGCCTGAAAGCGCTCCAAATGTCCACATCCAGATACTACAAAAAGAGTGTTTCAAACCTGCTCTATGAAAGGGAATGTTCAACTCTGTGACTTGAATGTAAACATCACAAAGAAGTTACTGGGAATGCTGCTGTCTGCTTTTTATATTTAATCCCGTTTCCAACGAAATCCTCAAAGCTAGACAAATATCCACTTCCAGATTCCACAAAAAGAGTGTTTCAAAACTGCTCTCTCAAAAGAAAGTTTCAACTCTGTTAGCTGAGTAGATACATCATGAAAAAGTTTCTGACATTGCTTCTATGTAGCTTTTATTGGAAGATATTTCCTTTTTCACTGTAGTCCTGAGAGCGCTCCAAATGTCCACTTCCAGATACTACAAAAAGAGTGTTTCAAACCTGCTCTATGAAAGGGACTGTTCAACACTGTGACTTCAATTGAAACATCCCAATGAAGCTTCTGAGAATGCTTCTGTCTTGAGTTTATATGAAGAAAATCCCGTTTCCAATGAAATCCCCAAAGCTATCCAAATATCCTCTTGCAGATTTTACAAAAAGACTGTTTCAAAACTGCTCTATCAAAAGAAAGCTTCAACACTGTTAGCTGAGGGCGCACATCACAAATAAGATTCTGAAAATGCTTCTGTCTTGTTTTCAGGAGAAGATATTTCCTTTTTCACCATAGGCCTGAAAGCGCTCCAAATGTCCACATCCAGATACTATAAAAAGAGTGTTTCAAACCTGCTCTATGAAACGGAATGTTCAACTCTCGGACTTGAATGCAAACATCACAAAGAAGATTCTGAGAATGCTGCTGTCTGCTTTTTATATGTAATCCCGTTTCCAACGAAATCCTCAAAGCTAGACAAATATCCACTTGCAGATTCCACAAAAAGAGTGTTTCAAAACTGCTCTATCAAAAGAAAGCTTCAACACTGTTAGTTGAGGGCGCACATCACAAATAAGTTTCTGAGAATGCTTCTGTCTAGTTTTCAGGTGAAGATATTTCCTTTTTCATCATAGGCCTGAAAGCGCTCCAAATGTCCACATCCAGATACTACAAAAAGAGTGTTTCAAACCTGCTCTATGAAAGGGACTGTTCAACACTGTGACTTCAATTGAAACATCCCAATGAAGCTTCTGAGAATGCTTCTGTCTAGAGTTTATATGATGACAATCCCGTTTCCAACGAAATCCTCAATGCTATCCAAATATCCTCTTGCAGATATTACAAAAAGAGTGTTTCAAAACTGCTCTATCAAAAGAAAGGTTCAACACTGTTAGTTGAGGGCGCACATCACAAATAAGTTTCTGAGAATGCTTCTGTCTAGTTTTCAGGGGAAGATATTTCCTTTTTCACCATAGGCCTGAAAGCGCTCCAAATGTCCACATCCAGATACTACAAAAAGAGTGTTTCAAACCTGCTCTATGAAAGGGAATGTTCAACTCTGTGACTTGAATGCAAACATCACAAAGAAGTTACTGGGAATGCTGTTGTCTGCTTTTTATACGTAATCCCGTTTCCAACGAAATCCTCAAAGCTAGACAAATATCCACTTGCAGATTCCACAAAAAGAGTGTTTCAAAACTGCTCTCTCAAAAGAAAGGTTCAACTCTGTTAGCTGAGTAGATACATCATGAAAAAGTTTCTGACATTGCTTCTATCTAGCTTTTATTGGAAGATATTTCCTTTTTCACCGTAGTCCTGAGATCTCTCCAAATGTCCACTTCCAGATACTACAAAAAGAGTGTTTCAAACCTGCTCTATGAAAGGGACTGTTCAACACTGTGACTTCAATTGAAACATCCCAATGAAGCTTCTGAGAATGCTTCTGTCTAGAGTTTATATGAAGACAATCCCGTTTCCAATGAAATCCTCAAAGCTATCCAAATATCCTCTTGCAGATTTTACAAAAAGTGTGTTTCAAAACTGCTCTATCAAAAGAAAGCTTCAACACTGTTAGTTGAGGGCGCACATCACAAATAAGATTCTGAGAATGCTTCTGTCTAGTTTTCAGGAGAAGATATTTCCTTTTTCACCATAGGCCTGAAAGCGCTCCAAATGTCCACATCCAGATTCTATAAAAAGAGTGTTTCAAACCTGCTCTCTGAAAGGGAATGTTCAACTCTGTGACTTGAATGCAAACACCACAAACAAGATTCTGGGAATGCTGCTGTCTGCTTTTTATATGTAATCCCGTTTCCAACGAAATCCTCAAAGCTAGACAAATGTCCACTTGCAGATTCCATAAAAAGAGTGTTTCAAAACTGCTTTATCAAAAGAAAGGTTCAACTCTGTTAGCTGAGTAGATACATCATGAAAAATTTTCTGACATTGCTTCTATCTAGCTTTTATTGGAAGATATTTCCTTTGTCACCGTATTCCTGAGATCTCTCCAAATGTCCACTTCCAGATACTACAAAAAGAGTGTTTCAAACCTGCTCTATGAAAGGGACTGTTCAACACTGTGACTTCAATTGAAACATCCCAATGAAGCTTCTGAGAATGCTTCTGTCTAGAGTTTATATGAAGACAATCCCGTTTCCAACGAAATCCTCAAAGCTATCCAAATATCCTCTTGCAGATTTTACAAAAAGAGTGTTTCAAAACTGCTCTATCAAAAGAAAGCTTCAACACTGTTAGTTGAGGGCGCACATCACAAATAAGATTTTGAGAATGCTTCTGTCTAGTTTTCAGGGGAAGATATTTCCTTTTTCACCATAGGCCTGAAAGCGCTCCAAATGTCCACATCCAGATACTATAAAAAGAGTGTTTCAAACCTGCTCTCTGAAAGGGAATGTTCAACTCTGTGTCTTGAATGCAAACATCACAAACAAGATTCTGGGAATGCTGCTGTCTGCTTTTTATTTGTAATCCCGTTTCCAACGAAATCCTCAAAGCTAGACAAATATCCACTTGCAGATTCCACAAAAAGAGTGTTTCAAAACTGCTCTATCAAAAGAAAGCTTCAACACTGTTAGTTGAGGGCGCACATCACAAATAAGTTTCTGAGAATGCTTCTGTCTAGTTTTCAGGGGAAGATATTTCCTTTTTCACCTTAGGCCTGAAAGCGCTCCAAATGTCCACATCCAGATACTACAAAAAGAGTGTTTCAAACCTGCTCTATGAAAGGGAATGTTCCACTCTGTGACTTGAATGCAAACATCACAAAGAAGTTTCTGGGAATGCTGCTGTCTGCTTTTTATATGTAATCCCGTTTCCAACGAAATCCTCAAAGCTAGACAAATATCCACTTGTAGATTCCACAAAAAGAGTGTTTCAAAACTGCTCTATCAAAAGAAAGCTTCAACACTGTTAGTTGAGGGCGCACATCACAAATAAGTTTCTGAGAATGCTTCTGTCTAGTTTTCAGGGGAAGATATTTCCTTTTAAACCATAGGCCTGAAAGCGCTCCAAATGTCCACTTCCAGATACTACAAAAAGAGTGTTTCAAACCTGCTCTATGAAAGGGACTGTTCAACACTGTGACTTCAATTGAAACATCCCAATGAAGCTTCTGAGAATGCTTCTGTCTAGAGTTTATATGGAGACAATCCCGTTTCCAACGAAATCCTCAAAGCTATCCAAATATCCTCTTGCAGATTTTACAAAAAGAGTGTTTCAAAACTGCTCTATCAAAAGAAAGCTTCAACACTGTTAGTTGAGGGCGCACATCACAAATAAGATTCTGAGAATGCTTCTGTCTAGTTTTCAGGGGAAGATATTTCCTTTTTCACCATAGGCCTGAAAGCGCTCCAAATGTCCACATCCAGATACTACAAAAAGAGTGTTTCAAACCTGCTCTATGAAAGAGAATGTTCAACTCTGTGACTTGAATGCAAACTTCACAAAGAAGTTTCTGGGAATGCTGCTGTCTGCTTTTTATATGTAATCCCGTTTCCAACGAAATCCTCAAAGCTAGACAAATATCCACTTGCAGATTCCACAAAAAGAGTGTTTCAAAACTGCTCTCTCAAAAGAAAGGTTCAACTCTGTTAGCTGAGTAGACACATGATGAAAAAGTTTCTGACATTGCTTCTATCTAGCTTTTATTGGAAGATATTTCCTTTTTCACCGTAGTCCTGAGATCTCTCAAAATGTCCACTTCCAGATACTACAAAAAGAGTGTTTCAAACCTGCTCTATGAAAGGGACTGTTCAACACTGTGACTTCAATTGAAACATCCCAATGAAGCTTCTGAGAATGCTTCTCTCTAGAGTTTATATGAAGACAGTCCCGTTTCCAACGAAATCCTCAAAGCTATCCAAATATCCTCTTGCAGATTTTACAAAAAGAGTGTTTCAAAACTGCTCTATCAAAAGAAAGCTTCAACACTGTTAGTTGAGGGCGGACATCGCAAATAAGATTCTGAGAATGCTTCTGTCTAGTTTTCAGGGGAAGATATTTCCTTTTTCACTATAGGCCTGAAAGCGCTCCAAATGTCCACATACCGATACTACAAAAAGAGTGTTTCAAACCTCCTCTATGAAATGGAATGTTCAACTCTGTGACTTGAATGCAAACTTCACAAAGAAGTTTCTGGGAATGCTGCTGGCTGCTTTTTATATGTAATCCCGTTTCCAACGAAATCCTCAAAGCTAGACAAATATCCACTTACAGATTCCACAAAAAGAGTGTTTCAAAACTGCTCTCTCAAAAGAAAGGTTCAACTCTGTTAGCTGAGTAGATACATCATGAAAAATTTTCTGACATTGCTTCTATCTAGCTTTTATTGGAAGATATTTACTTTGTCACCGTATTCCTGAGAGCGCTCCAAATGTCCACTTCCAGATACTACAAAAAGAGTGTTTCAAACCTGCTCTATGAAAGGGACTGATCAACACTGTGACTTCAATTGAAACATCCCAATGAAGCTTCTGAGAATGCTTCTGTCTAGAGTTTATATGAAGACAATCCCGTTTCCAACGAAATCCTCAAAGCTATCCAAATATCCTCTTGCAGATTTTACAAAAAGACTGTTTCAAAACTGCTCTATCAAAAGAAAGCTTCAACACTGTTAGCTGAGGGCGCACATCAGAAATAAGATTCTGAGAATGCTTTTGTCTAGTTTTCAGGAGAAGATATTTCCTTTTTCACCATAGGCCTGAAAACGCTCCAAATGTCCACATCCAGATACTACAAAAAGAGTGTTTCAAACCTGCTCTATGAAAGGGAATGTTCAACTCTGTGACTTGAATGCAAACATCACAAAGAAGTTTCTGGGAATGCTGCTGTCTGCTTTTTATATGTAATCCCGTTTCCAACGAAATCCTCAAAGCTAGACAAATATCCACTTGCAGATTCCACAAAAAGAGTGTTTCAAAACTGCTCTCTCAAAAGAAAGGTTCAACTCTGTTAGCTGAGTAGACACATCATGAAAAAGTTTCTGACATTGCTTCTATCTAGCTTTTATTGGAAGATATTTCCTTTTTCACCGTAGTCCTGAGAAAGCTCCAAATGTCTACTTCCAGATACTACAAAAAGTGTGTTTCAAACCTGCTCTATGAAAGGGACTGTTCAACACTGTGACTTCAATTGAAACATCCCAATGAAGCTTCTGAGAATGCTTCTGTCTAGAGTTTATATGAAGACAATCCCGTTTCCAACGAAATCCTCAAAGCTATCCAAATATCCTCTTGCAGATTTTACAAAAAGAGTGTTCCAAAACTGCTCTATCAAAAGAAAGCTTCAACACTGTTAGTTGAGGGCGCACATCACAAATAAGATTCTGAGAATGCTTCTGTCTAGTTTTCAGGGGAAGATATTTCGTTTTTCACCATAGGCCTGAAAGCGCTCCAAATGTCCACATCCAGATACTACAAAAAGAGTGTTTCAAACCTGCTCTATGAAAGGGAATGTTCAACTCTGTGACTTGAATGCAAACATCACAAAGAAGTTTCTGGGAATGCTGCTGTCTGCTTTTTATATGTAATCCCGTTTCCAACGAAATCCTCCAAGCTAGACAAATATCCACTTGCAGATTCCACAAAAAGAGTGTTTCAAAACTGCTCTATCAAAAGAAAGCTTCAACACTGTTAGTTGAGGGCGCACATCACAAATAAGTTTCTGAGAATGCTTCTGTCTAGTTTTCAGAGGAAGATATTTCCTTTTTCACCATAGGCCTGAAAGCGCTCCAAATGTCCACTTCCAGATACTACAAAAAGAGTGTTTCAAACCTGCTCTATGAAAGGGACTGTTCAACACTGTGACTTCAATTGAAACATCCCAATGAGGCTTCTGAGAATGCTTCTGTCTAGAGTTTATATGAAGACAATCCCGTTTCCAACGAAATCCTCAAAGCTATCCAAATATCCTCTTGCAGATTTTACAAAAAGAGTGTTTCAAAACTGCTCTATCAAAAGAAAGCTTCAACACTGTTAGTTGAGGGCGCACATCACAAATAAGATTCTGAGAATGCTTCTGTCTAGTTTTCAGGGGAAGATATTTCGTTTTTCACCATAGGCCTGAAAGCGCTCCAAATGTCCACATCCAGATACTACAAAAAGAGTGTTTCAAACCTGCTCTATGAAAGGGAATGTTCAACTCTGTGACTTGAATGTAAACATCACAAAGAAGTTACTGGGAATGCTGCTGTCTGCTTTTTATATTTAATCCCGTTTCCAACGAAATCCTCAAAGCTAGACAAATATCCACTTCCAGATTCCACAAAAAGAGTGTTTCAAAACTGCTCTCTCAAAAGAAAGTTTCAACTCTGTTAGCTGAGTAGATACATCATGAAAAAGTTTCTGACATTGCTTCTATGTAGCTTTTATTGGAAGATATTTCCTTTTTCACTGTAGTCCTGAGAGCGCTCCAAATGTCCACTTCCAGATACTACAAAAAGAGTGTTTCAAACCTGCTCTATGAAAGGGACTGTTCAACACTGTGACTTCAATTGAAACATCCCAATGAAGCTTCTGAGAATGCTTCTGTCTTGAGTTTATATGAAGAAAATCCCGTTTCCAATGAAATCCCCAAAGCTATCCAAATATCCTCTTGCAGATTTTACAAAAAGACTGTTTCAAAACTGCTCTATCAAAAGAAAGCTTCAACACTGTTAGCTGAGGGCGCACATCACAAATAAGATTCTGAAAATGCTTCTGTCTTGTTTTCAGGAGAAGATATTTCCTTTTTCACCATAGGCCTGAAAGCGCTCCAAATGTCCACATCCAGATACTATAAAAAGAGTGTTTCAAACCTGCTCTATGAAACGGAATGTTCAACTCTCGGACTTGAATGCAAACATCACAAAGAAGATTCTGAGAATGCTGCTGTCTGCTTTTTATATGTAATCCCGTTTCCAACGAAATCCTCAAAGCTAGACAAATATCCACTTGCAGATTCCACAAAAAGAGTGTTTCAAAACTGCTCTATCAAAAGAAAGCTTCAACACTGTTAGTTGAGGGCGCACATCACAAATAAGTTTCTGAGAATGCTTCTGTCTAGTTTTCAGGTGAAGATATTTCCTTTTTCATCATAGGCCTGAAAGCGCTCCAAATGTCCACATCCAGATACTACAAAAAGAGTGTTTCAAACCTGCTCTATGAAAGGGACTGTTCAACACTGTGACTTCAATTGAAACATCCCAATGAAGCTTCTGAGAATGCTTCTGTCTAGAGTTTATATGATGACAATCCCGTTTCCAACGAAATCCTCAATGCTATCCAAATATCCTCTTGCAGATATTACAAAAAGAGTGTTTCAAAACTGCTCTATCAAAAGAAAGGTTCAACACTGTTAGTTGAGGGCGCACATCACAAATAAGTTTCTGAGAATGCTTCTGTCTAGTTTTCAGGGGAAGATATTTCCTTTTTCACCATAGGCCTGAAAGCGCTCCAAATGTCCACATCCAGATACTACAAAAAGAGTGTTTCAAACCTGCTCTATGAAAGGGAATGTTCAACTCTGTGACTTGAATGCAAACATCACAAAGAAGTTACTGGGAATGCTGTTGTCTGCTTTTTATACGTAATCCCGTTTCCAACGAAATCCTCAAAGCTAGACAAATATCCACTTGCAGATTCCACAAAAAGAGTGTTTCAAAACTGCTCTCTCAAAAGAAAGGTTCAACTCTGTTAGCTGAGTAGATACATCATGAAAAAGTTTCTGACATTGCTTCTATCTAGCTTTTATTGGAAGATATTTCCTTTTTCACCGTAGTCCTGAGATCTCTCCAAATGTCCACTTCCAGATACTACAAAAAGAGTGTTTCAAACCTGCTCTATGAAAGGGACTGTTCAACACTGTGACTTCAATTGAAACATCCCAATGAAGCTTCTGAGAATGCTTCTGTCTAGAGTTTATATGAAGACAATCCCGTTTCCAATGAAATCCTCAAAGCTATCCAAATATCCTCTTGCAGATTTTACAAAAAGTGTGTTTCAAAACTGCTCTATCAAAAGAAAGCTTCAACACTGTTAGTTGAGGGCGCACATCACAAATAAGATTCTGAGAATGCTTCTGTCTAGTTTTCAGGAGAAGATATTTCCTTTTTCACCATAGGCCTGAAAGCGCTCCAAATGTCCACATCCAGATTCTATAAAAAGAGTGTTTCAAACCTGCTCTCTGAAAGGGAATGTTCAACTCTGTGACTTGAATGCAAACACCACAAACAAGATTCTGGGAATGCTGCTGTCTGCTTTTTATATGTAATCCCGTTTCCAACGAAATCCTCAAAGCTAGACAAATGTCCACTTGCAGATTCCATAAAAAGAGTGTTTCAAAACTGCTTTATCAAAAGAAAGGTTCAACTCTGTTAGCTGAGTAGATACATCATGAAAAATTTTCTGACATTGCTTCTATCTAGCTTTTATTGGAAGATATTTCCTTTGTCACCGTATTCCTGAGATCTCTCCAAATGTCCACTTCCAGATACTACAAAAAGAGTGTTTCAAACCTGCTCTATGAAAGGGACTGTTCAACACTGTGACTTCAATTGAAACATCCCAATGAAGCTTCTGAGAATGCTTCTGTCTAGAGTTTATATGAAGACAATCCCGTTTCCAACGAAATCCTCAAAGCTATGCAAATATCCTCTTGCAGATTTTACAAAAAGAGTGTTTCAAAACTGCTCTATCAAAAGAAAGCTTCAGCACTGTTAGTTGAGGGCGTACATCACAAATAAGATTCTGAGAATGCTTCTGTCTAGTTTTCATGGGATGATATTTCCTTTTTCACCATATGCCTGAAAGCGCTCCAAATGTCCACATCCAGATACTACAAAAAGAGTGTTTCAAACCTGCTCTATGAAAGGGAATGTTCAACTCTGTGACTTGAATGCAAACATCACAAAGAAGTTTCTGGGAATGCTGCTGTCTGCTTTTTATATGTAATCCCGTTTCCAACGAAATCCTCAAAGCTAGACAAATATCCACTTGCAGATTCCACAAAAAGAGTGTTTCAAAACTGCTCTCTCAAAAGAAAGTTTCAACTCTGTTAGCTGAGTAGATACATCATGAAAATGTTTCTGACATTGCTTCTATGTAGCTTTTATTGGAAGATATTTCCTTTTTCACCGTAGTCCTGAGAGCGCTCCAAATGTCCACTTCCAGATACTACAAAAAGAGTGTTTCAAACCTGCTCTATGAAAGGGACTTTTCAACACTGTGACTTCAATTGAAACATCCCAATGAAGCTTCTGAGAATGCTTCTGTCTTGAGTTTATATGAAGAAAATCCCGTTTCCAATGAAATCCTCAAAGCTATCCAAATATCCTCTTGCAGATTTTACGAAAAGAGTGTTTCAAAACTGCTCTATCAAAAGAAAGCTTCAACACTCTTAGCTGAGGGCGCACATCACAAATAAGATTCTGAGAATGCTTCTGTCTTGTTTTCAGGAGAAGATATTTCCTTTTTCACCATAGGCCTGAAAGCGCTCCAAATGTCCACATCCAGATACTATAAAAAGAGTGTTTCAAACCTGCTCTATGAAACGGAATGTTCAACTCTGGAACTTGAATGCAAACATCACAAAGAAGATTCTGGGAATGCTGCTGTCTGCTTTTTATATGTAATCAAGTTTCCAACGAAATCCTCAAAGCTAGACAAATATCCACTTGCAGATTCCATAAAAAGAGTGTTTCAAAACTGCTCTATCAAAAGAAAGCTTCAACACTGTTAGTTGAGGGCGCACATCACAAATAAGTTTCTGAGAATGCTTCTGTCTAGTTTTCAGAGGAAGATATTTCCTTTTTCACCATAGGCCTGAAAGCGCTCCAAATGTCCACATCCAGATACTACAAAAAGAGTGTTTCAAACCTGCTCTATGAAAGGGACTGTTCAACACTGTGACTTCAATTGAAACATCCCAATGAAGCTTCTGAGAATGCTTCTGTCTAGAGTTTATATGAAGACAATCCCGTTTCCAACGAAATCCTCAAAGCTATCCAAATATCCTCTTGCAGATATTACAAAAAGAGTGTTTCAAAACTGCTCTATCAAAAGAAAGCTTCAACACTGTTAGTTGAGGGCGCACATCACAAATAAGATTCTGAGAATGCTTCTGTCTAGTTTTCAGGGGAAGATATTTCCTTTTTCACCATAGGCCTGAAAGCGCTCAAAATGTCCACATACAGATACTACAAAAAGAGTGTTTCAAACCTGCTCTATGAAAGGGAATGTTCAACCCTGTGACTTGAATGCAAACATCACAAAGAAGTTACTGGGAATGCTGCTGTCTGCTTTTTATATGTAATCCCGTTTCCAACGAAATCCTCAAAGCTAGACAAATATCCACTTGCAGATTCCACAAAAAGAGTGTTTCAAAACTGCTCTCTCAAAAGAAAGGTTCAACTCTGTTAGCTGAGTAGATACATCATGAAAAAGTTTCTGACATTGCTTCTATGTAGCTTTTATTGGAAGATATTTCCTTTTTCACCGTAGTCCTGAGAGCGCTCCAAATGTCCACTTCCAGATACTACAAAAAGAGTGTTTCAAACCTGCTCTCTGAACGGAACTGTTCAACACTGTGACTTCAATTGAAACATCCCAATGAAGCTTCTGAGAATGCTTCTGTCTAGAGTTTATATGAAGACAATCCCGTTTCCAATGAAATCCTCAAAGCTATCCAAATATCCTCTTGCAGATATTACAAAAAGTGTGTTTCAAAACTGCTCTATCAAAAGAAAGGTTCAACACTGTTAGTTGAGGGCGCACATCACAAATAAGTTTCTGAGAATGCTTCTGTCTAGTTTTCAGGGGAAGATATTTCCTTTTTCACCATAGGCCTGAAAGCGCTCCAAATGTCCACATACAGATACTGCAAAAAGAGTGTTTCAAACCTGCTCTATGAAAGGGAATGTTCAGCTGTGTGACTTGAATGCAAACATCACAAAGAAGTTTCTGGGAATGCTGCTGTCTGCTTTTTATATGTAATCCCGTTTCCAACGAAATCCTCAAGCTAGACAAATATCCACTTGCAGATTCCACAAAAAGAGTGTTTCAAAACTGCTCTCTCAAAAGAAAGGTTCAACTCTGTTAGCTGAGTAGATACGTCATGAAAAAGTTTCTGACATTGCTTCTATCTAGCTTTTATTGGAAGATACTTCCTTTTTCACCGCAGTCCTGAGAGCGCTCCAAATGTCCACTTCCAGATACTACAAAAAGAGTGTTTCAAACCTGCTCTATGAAAGGGACTGTTCAACACTGTGACTTCAATTGAAACATCCCAATGAAGCTTCTGAGAATGCTTCTGTCTAGAGTTTATATGAAGACAATCCCGTTTCCAACGAAATCCTCAAAGCCATCCAAATATCCTCTTGCAGATTTTACAAAAAGAGTGTTTCAAAACTGCTCTATCAAAAGAAAGCTTCAACACTGTTAGTTGAGGGCGCACATCACAAATAAGATTCTGAGAATGCTTCTGTCTAGTTTTCAGGGGAAGATATTTCCTTTTTCACCATTGGCCTGAAAGCGCTCCAAATGTCCACATCCAGATACTACAAAAAGAGTGTTTCAAACCTGCTCTATGAAAGGGAATGTTCAACTCTGTGACTTGAATGCAAACATCACAAAGAAATTTCTGGGAATGCTGCTGTCTGCTTTTTATATGTAATCCCGTTTCCAACGAAATCCTCAAAGCTAGACAAATATCCACTTGCAGATTCCACAAAAAGAGTGTTTCAAAACTGCTCTCTCAAAAGAAAGGTTCAACTCTGTTAGCTGAGTAGATACATCATGAAAAAGTTTCTGATATTGCTTCTATGTAGCCTTTATTGGAAGATATTTCCTTTTTCACCGTAGTCCTGAGAGCGCTCCAAATGTCCACTTCCAGATACTACAAAAAGGGTGTTTCAAACCTGCTCTATGAAAGGGACTGTTCAACACTGTGACTTCAATTGAAACATCCCAATGAAGCTTCTGAGAATGCTACTGTCTAGAGTTTATATGAAGACAATCCCGTTTCCAACGAAATCCTCAAAGCTATCCAAATATCCTCTTGCAGATATTACAAAAAGAGTGTTTCAAAACTGCTCTATCAAAAGAAAGGTTCAACACTGTTAGTTGAGGGCGCACATCACAAATAAGTTTCTGAGAATGCTTCTGTCTAGTTTTCAGGGGAAGATATTTCCTTTTTCACCATAGGCCTGAAAGCGCTCCAAATGTCCACATCCAGATACTACAAAAAGAGTGTTTCAAACCTGCTCTATGAAAGGGAATGTTCAACTCTGTGACTTGAATGCAAACATCACAAAGAAGTTACTGGGAATGCTGCTGTCTGCTTTTTATATGTAATCCCGTTTCCAACGAAATCCTCAAAGCTAGAAAAATATCCACTTGCAGATTCCACAACAAGAGTGTTTCAAAACTGCTCCCTCAAAGGAAAGGTTCAACTCTGTTAGCTGAGTAGATACATCATGAAAAAGTTTCTGACATTGCTTCTATGTAGCTTTTATTGGAAGATATTTCCTTTTTCACCGTAGTCCTGAGAGCGCTCCAAATGTCCACTTCGAGATACTACAAAAAGAGTGTTTCAAACCTGCTCTATGAAAGGAACTGTTCAACACTGTGACTTCAATTGAAACATCCCAATGAAGCTTCTGAGAATGCTTCTGTCTATAGTTTATATGAAGACAATCCCGTTTCCAACGAAATCCTCAAAGCTATCCAAATATCCTCTTGCAGATTTTACAAAAAGAGTGTTTCAAAACTGCTCTATCAAAAGAAAGCTTCAACACTGTTAGTTGAGGGCGCACATCACAAATAAGTTTCTGAGAATGCTTCTGTCTAGTTTCCAGGGGAAGATATTTCCTTTTTCACCATAGGCCTGAAAGCGCTCCAAATGTCCACATACAGATACTACAAAAAGAGTGTTTCAAACCTGCTCTATGAAAGGGAATGTTCAACTCTGTGACTTGAATGGAAACATCACAAAGAAGTTTCTGGGAATGCTGCTGTCTGCTTTTTATATGTAATCCCGTTTCCAACGAAATCCTCAAAGCTAGACAAATATCCACTTGCAGATTCCACAAAAAGAGTGTTTCAAACTGCTCTCTCAAAAGAAAGGTTCAACTCTGTTAGCTGAGTAGATAGATCATGAAAAAGTTTCTGACATTGCTTCTATCTAGCTTTTATTGGAAGATATTTCCTTTTTCACCGCAGTCCTGAGAGCGCTCCAAATGTCCACTTCCAGATACTACAAAAAGAGTGTTTCAAACCTGCTCTATGAAAGGGACTGTTCAACACTGTGACTTCAATTGAAACATCCCAATGAAGCTTCTGAGAATGCTTCTGTCTAGAGTTTATATTAAGACAATCCCATTTCCAACGAAATCCCCAAAGCTATCCAAATATCCTCTTGCAGATTTTACAAAAAGAGTGTTTCAAAACTGCTCTATCAAAAGAAAGCTTCAACACTGCTAGTTGAGGGCGCACATCACAAATAAGATTCTGAGAATGCTTCTGTCTAGTTTTCAGGGGAAGATATTTCCTTTTTCACCATAGGCCTGAAAGCGCTCCAAATGTCCACATCCAGATACTACAAAAAGAGTGTTTCAAACCTGCTCTATGAAAGGGAATGTTCAACTCTGTGACTTGAATGCAAACATCACAAAGGAGTTACTGGGAATGCTGCTGTCTGCTTTTTATATGTAATCCCGTTTCCAACGAAATCCTCAAAGCTAGACAAATATCCACTTGCAGATTCCACAAAAAGAGTGTTTCAAAACTGCTCTCTCAAAAGAAAGGTTCAACTCTGTTAGCTGAGTAGATACATCATGAAAAAGTTTCTGACATTGCTTCTATCTAGCTTTTATTGGAAGATATTTCCTTTGTCACCGTATTCCTGAGATCTCTCCAAATGTCCACTTCCAGATCCTACAAAAAGGGTGTTTCAAACCTACTCTATGAAAGGGACTGTTCAACACTGTGACTTCAATTGAAACATCCCAATGAAGCTTCTGAGAATGCTTCTGTCTAGAGTTTATATGAAGACAATACCGTTTCCAACGAAATCCTCAAAGCTATCCAAATATCCTCTTGCAGATTTTACAAAAAGAGTGTTCCAAAACTGCTCTATCAAAAGAAAGCTTCAACACTGTTAGTTGAGGGCGCACATCACAAATAAGATTCTGAGAATGCTTCTGTCTAGTTTTCAGGGGAAGATATTTCGTTTTTCACCATAGGCCTGAAAGCGCTCCAAATGTCCACATCCAGATACTACAAAAAGAGTGTTTCAACCCTGCTCTATGAAAGGGAATGTTCAACTCTGTGACTTGAATGCAAACATCACAAAGAAGATTCTGGGAATGCTGCTGTCTGCTTTTCATATGTAATCCCGTTTCCAACGAAATCCTCAAAGCTAGACAAATATCCACTTGCAGATTCCACAAAAAGAGTGTTTCAAAACTGCTCTCTCAAAAGAAAGGTTCAACTCTGTTAGCTGAGTAGACACATGATGAAAAAGTTTCTGACATTGCTTCTATCTAGCTTTTATTGGAAGATATTTCCTTTTTCACCGTAGTCCTGAGATCTCTCCAAATGTCCACTTCCAGATACTACAAAAAGAGTGTTTCAAACCTGCTCTATGAAAGGGACTGTTCAACACTGTGACTTCAATTGAAACATCCCAATGAAGCTTCTGAGAATGCTTCTGTCTAGAGTTTATATGAAGACAATCCCGCTTCCAACGAAATCCTCAAAGCTATCCAAATATCCTCTTGCAGATTTTACAAAAAGAGTGTATCAAAACTGCTCTATCAAAAGAAAGCTTCAACACTGTTAGTTGAGGGCGCACATCACAAATAAGATTCTGAGAATGCTTCTGTCTAGTTTTCAGGGGAAGATATTTCCTTTTTCACCATAGGCCTGAAAGCGCTCCAAATGTCCACATCCAGATACTACAAAAAGAGTGTTTCAAACCTGCTGTATGAAAGGGAATGTTCAACTCTGTGACTTGAATGCAAACATCACAAAGAAGTTTCTGGGAATGCTGCTGTCTGCTTTTTATATGTAATCCCCTTTCCAACGAAATCCTCAAAGCTAGACAAATATCCACTTGCAGATTCCACAAAAAGAGTGTTTCAAAACTGCTCTATCAAAAGAAAGCTTCAGCACTGTTAGTTGAGGGCGCACATCACAAATAAGTTTCTGAGAATGCTTCTGTCTAGTTTTCAGAGGAAGATATTTCCTTTTTCACCATAGGCCTGAAAGCGCTCCAAATGTCCACTTCCAGATCCTACAAAAAGGGTGTTTCAAACCTGCTCTATCAAAGGGACTGTTCAACACTGTGACTTCAATTGAAACATCCCAATGAGGCTTCTGAGAATGCTTCTGTCTAGAGTTTATATGAAGACAATCCCGTTTCCAACGAAATCCTCAAAGCTATCCAAATATCCTCTTGCAGATTTTACAAAAAGAGTGTTTCAAAACTGCTCTATCAAAAGAAACCTTCAACACTGTTAGTTGAGGGCGCACATCACAAATAAGATTCTGAGAATGCTTCTGTCTAGTTTTCAGGGGAAGATATTTCCTTTTTCACCATAGGCCTGAAAGCGCTCCAAATGTCCACATCCAGATACTACAAAAAGAGTGTTTCAAACCTGCTCTATGAAAGGGAATGTTCAACTCTGTGACTTGAATGCAAACATCACAAACAAGTTACTGGGAATGCTGCTGTCTGCTTTTTATATGTAATCCCGTTTCCAACGAAATCCTCAAAGCTAGACAAATATCCACTTCCAGATTCCACAAAAAGAGTGTTTCAAAACTGCTCTCTCAAAAGAAAGGTTCAACTCTGTTAGCTGAGTAGATACATCATGAAAAAGTTTCTGACATTGCTTCTATGTAGCTTTTATTGGAAGATATTTCCTTTTTCACCGTAGTCCTGAGAGCGCTCCAAATGTCCACTTCCAGATACTACAAAAAGAGTGTTTCAAACCTGCTCTATGAAAGGGACTTTTCAACACTGTGACTTCAATTGAAACATCCCAATGAAGCTTCTGAGAATGCTTCTGTCTTGAGTTTATATGAAGAAAATCCCGTTTCCAATGAAATCCCCAAAGCTATCCAAATATCCTCTTGCAGATTTTACAAAAAGACTGTTTAAAAACTGCTCTATCAAAAGAAAGCTTCAACACTGTTAGCTGAGGGCGCACATCACAAATAAGATTCTGAAAATGCTTCTGTCTTGTTTTCAGGAGAAGATATTTCCTTTTTCACCATAGGCCTGAAAGCGCTCCAAATGTCCACATCCAGATACTATAAAAAGAGTGTTTCAAACCTGCTCTATGAAACGGAATGTTCAACTCTGGGACTTGAATGCAAACATCACAAAGAAGATTCTGGGAATGCTGCTGTCTGCTTTTTATATGTAATCCCGTTTCCAACGAAATCCTCAAAGCTAGACAAATATCCACTTGCAGATTCCACAAAAAGAGTGTTTCAAAACTGCTCTATCAAAAGAAAGCTTCAACACTGTTAGTTGAGGGCGCACATCACAAAAAAGTTTCTGAGAATGCTTCTGTCTAGTTTTCAGGGGAAGATATTTCCTTTTTCACCATAGGCCTGAAAGCGCTCCAAATGTCCACATCTAGATACTACAAAAAGAGTGTTTCAAACCTGCTCTATGAAAGGGACTGTTCAACACTGTGACTTCAATTGAAACATCCCAATGAAGCTTCTGAGAATGCTTCTGTCTAGAGTTTATATGAAGACAATCCCGTTTCCAACGAAATCCTCAAAGCTATCCAAATATCCTCTTGCAGATTTTACAAAAAGAGTGTTTCAAAACTGCTCTATCAAAAGAAAGCTTCAACACTGTTAGTTGAGGGCGCACATCACAAATAAGATTCTGAGAATTCTTCTGTCTAGTTTTCAGGGGAAGATATTTCCTTTTTCACCATAGGCCTGAAAGCGCTCCAAATGTCCACATCCAGATACTACAAAAAGAGTGTTTCAAACCTGCTGTATGAAAGGGAATGTTCAACTCTGTGACTTGAATGCAAACATCACAAAGAAGTTTCTGGGAATGCTGCTGTCTGCTTTTTATATGTAATCCCGTTTCCAACGAAATCCTCAAAGCTAGACAAATATCCACTTGCAGATTCCACAAAAAGAGTGTTTCAAAACTGCTCTATCAAAAGAAACCTTCAACACTGTTAGTTGAGGGCGCACATCACAAATAAGTTTCTGAGAATGCTTCTGTCTAGTTTTCAGAGGAAGATATTTCCTTTTTCACCATAGGCCTGAAAGCGCTCCAAATGTCCACTTCCAAATACTACAAAAAGAGTGTTTCAAACCTGCTCTATGAAAGGGACTGTTCAACACTGTGACTTCAATTGAAACATCCCAATGAGGCTTCTGAGAATGCTTCTGTCTAGAGTTTATATGAAGAGAATCCCGTTTCCAACGAAATCCTCAAAGCTATCCAAATATCCTCTTGCAGATTTTACAAAAAGAGTGTTTCAAAACTGCTCTATCAAAAGAAAGCTTCAACACTGTTAGTTGAGGGCGCACATCACAAATAAGATTCTGAGAATTCTTCTGTCTAGTTTTCAGGGGAAGATATTTCCTTTTTCACCATAGGCCTGAAAGCGCTCCAAATGTCCACATCCAGATACTACAAAAAGAGTGTTTCAAACCTGCTCTATGAAAGGGAATGTTCAACTCTGTGACTTGAATGTAAACATCACAAAGAAGTTACTGGGAATGCTGCTGTCTGCCTTTTATATTTAATCCCGTTTCCAACGAAATCCTCAAAGCTAGACAAATATCCACTTCCAGATTCCACAAAAAGAGTGTTTCAAAACTGCTCTCTCAAAAGAAAGTTTCAACTCTGTTAGCTGAGTAGATACATCATGAAAAAGTTTCTGACATTGCTTCTATGTAGCTTTTATTGGAAGATATTTCCTTTTTCACTGTAGTCCTGAGAGCGCTCCAAATGTCCACTTCCAGATACTACAAAAAGAGTGTTTCAAACCTGCTCTATGAAAGGGACTGTTCAACACTGTGACTTCAATTGAAACATCCCAATGAAGCTTCTGAGAATGCTTCTGTCTTGAGTTTATATGAAGAAAATCCCGTTTCCAATGAAATCCCCAAAGCTATCCAAATATCCTCTTGCAGATTTTACAAAAAGACTGTTTCAAAACTGCTCTATCAAAAGAAAGCTTCAACACTGTTAGCTGAGGGCGCACATCACAAATAAGATTCTGAAAATGCTTCTGTCTTGTTTTCAGGAGAAGATATTTCCTTTTTCACCATAGGCCTGAAAGCGCTCCAAATGTCCACATCCAGATACTATAAAAAGAGTGTTTCAAACCTGCTCTATGAAACGGAATGTTCAACTCTGGGACTTGAATGCAAACATCACAAAGAAGATTCTGAGAATGCTGCTGTCTGCTTTTTATATGTAATCCCGTTTCCAACGAAATCCTCAAATCTAGACAAATATCCACTTGCAGATTCCACAAAAAGAGTGTTTCAAAACTGCTCTATCAAAAGAAAGCTTCAACACTGTTAGTTGAGGGCGCACATCACAAATAAGTTTCTGAGAATGCTTCTGTCTAGTTTTCAGGGGAAGATATTTCCTTTTTCACCATAGGCCTGAAAGCGCTCCAAATGTCCACATCCAGATACTACAAAAAGAGTGTTTCAAACCTGCTCTATGAAAGGGACTGTTCAACATTGTGACTTCAATTGAAACATCCCAATGAAGCTTCTGAGAATGCTTCTGTCTAGAGTTTATATGAAGATAATCCCGTTTCCAACGAAATCCTCAAAGCTATCCAAATATCCTCTTGCAGATTTTACAAAAAGAGTGTTTCAAAACTGCTCTATCAAAAGAAAGCTTCAACACTGTTAGTTGAGGGCGCACATCACAAATAAGATTCTGAGAATGCTTCTGTCTAGTTTTCAGGGGAAGATATTTCCTTTTTCACCATAGGCCTGAAAGCGCTCCAAATGTCCACATCCAGATACTACAAAAAGAGTGTTTCAAACCTGCTCTATGAAAGGGAATGTTCAACTCTGTGACTTGAATGGAAACATCACAAACAAGTTACTGGGAATGCTGCTGTCTGCTTTTTATATGTAATCCCGTTTCCAACGAAATCCTCAAAGCTAGACAAATATCCACTTGCAGATTCCACAAAAAGAGTGTTTCAAAACTGCTCTCTCAAAAGAAAGGTTCAAAGCTGTTAGCTGAGTAGATACATCACGAAAAAGTTTCTGACATTGCTTCTATGTAGCTTTTATTGGAAGATATTTCCTTTTTCACCGTAGTCCTGAGAGCGCTCCAAATGTCCATTTCCAGGTACTACAAAAAGAGTGTTTCAAACCTGCTCTATGAAAGGGACTGTTCAACACTGTGACTTCAATTGAAACATCCCAATGAAGCTTCTGAGAATGCTTCTGTCTAGAGTTTATATGAAGACAATCCCGTTTCCAACGAAATCCTCAAAGCTATCCAAATATCCTCTTGCAGATTTTACAAAAAGAGTGTTTCAAAACTGTTCTATCAAAAGAAAGCTTCAACACTGTTAGTTGAGGGCGCACATCACAAATAAGATTCTGAGAATGCTTCTGTCTAGTTTTCAGGGGAAGATATTTCCTTTTTCACCATAGGCCTGAAAGCGCTCCAAATGTCCACATCCAGATACTACAAAAAGAGTGTTTCAAACATGCTCTATGAAAGGGAATGTTCAACTCTCTGACTTGAATGCAAACATCAAAAAGAAGTTTCTGGGAATGCTGCTGTCTGCTTTTTATATGTAATCCCGTTTCCAACGAAATCCTCAAAGCTAGACAAATATCCACTTGCAGATTCCACAAAAAGAGTGTTTCAAAACTGCTCTCTCAAAAGAAAGTTTCAACTCTGTTAGCTGAGTAGATACATCATGAAAAAGTTTCTGACATTGCTTCTATGTAGCTTTTATTGGAAGATATTTCCTTTTTCACCGTAGTCCTGAGAGCGCTCCAAATGTCCACTTCCAGATACTACAAAAAGAGTGTTTCAAACCTGCTCTATGAAAGGGACTTTTCAACACTGTGACTTCAATTGAAACATCCCAATGAAGCTTCTGAGAATGCTTCTGTCTTGAGTTTATATGAAGAAAATCCCGTTTCCAATGAAATCCTCAAAGCTATCCAAATATCCTCTTGCAGATTTTACAAAAAGACTGTTTCAAAACTGCTCTATCAAAAGAAAGCTTCAACACTGTTAGCTGAGGGCGCACATCACAAATAAGATTCTGAGAATGCTTCTGTCTTGTTTTCAGGAGAAGATATTTCCTTTTTCACCATAGGCCTGAAAGCGCTCCAAATGTCCACATCCAGATACTATAAAAAGAGTGTTTCAAACCTGCTCTATGAAACAGAATGTTCAACTCTGGGACTTGAATGCAAACATCAAAAAGAAGATTCTGGGAATGCTGCTGTCTGCTTTTTATATGTAATCCCGTTTCCAACGAAATCCTCAAAGCTAGACAAATATCCACTTGCAGATTCCACAAAAAGAGTGTTTCAAAACTGCTCTCTCAAAAGAAAGTTTCAACTCTGTTAGCTGAGTAGATACATCATGAAAATGTTTCTGACATTTCTTCTATGTAGCTTTTATTGGAAGATATTTCCTTTTTCACCGTAGTCCTGAGAGCGCTCCCAATGTCCACTTCCAGATACTACAAAAAGAGTGTTTCAAACCTGCTCTATGAAAGGGACTTTTCAACACTGTGACTTCAATTGAAACATCCCAATGAAGCTTCTGAGAATGCTTCTGTCTTGAGTTTATATGAAGAAAATCCCGTTTCCAATGAAATCCTCAAAGCTATCCAAATATCCTCTTGCAGATTTTACAAAAAGACTGTTTCAAAACTGCTCTATCAAAAGAAAGCTTCAACACTGTTAGCTGAGGGCGCACATCACAAATAAGATTCTGAGAATGCTTCTGTCTTGTTTTCAGGAGAAGATATTTCCTTTTTCACCATAGGCCTGAAAGCGCTCCAAATGTCCACATCCAGATACTATAAAAAGAGTGTTTCAAACCTGCTCTATGAAACGGAATGTTCAACTCTGGGACTTGAATGCAAACATCACAAAGAAGATTCTGGGAATGCTGCTGTCTGCTTTTTATATGTAATCCCGTTTCCAACGAAATCCTCAAAGCTAGACAAATATCCACTTGCAGATTCCACAAAAAGAGTGTTTCAAAACTGCTCTATCAAAAGAAAGCTTCAACACTGTTAGTTGAGGGCGCACATCACAAATAAGTTTCTGAGAATGCTTCTGTCTAGTTTTCAGGGGAAGATATTTCCTTTTTCACCATAGGCCTGAAAGCGTTCCAAATGTCCACATCCAGATACTACAAAAAGAGTGTTTCAAACCTGCTCTATGAAAGGGAACGTTCAACTCTGTGACTTGAATGCAAACATCACAAAGAAGTTACTGGGAATGCTGCTGTCTGCTTTTTATATTTAATCCCGTTTCCAACGAAATCCTCAAAGCTAGACAAATATCCACTTCCAGATTCCACAAAAAGAGTGTTTCAAAACTGCTCTCTCAAAAGAAAGTTTCAACTCTGTTAGCTGAGTAGATACATCATGAAAAAGTTTCTGACATTGCTTCTATCTAGCTTTTATTGGAAGATATTTCCTTTTTCACCGTAGTCCTGAGAGCGCTCCAAATGTCCACTTCCAGATACTACAAAAAGAGTGTTTCAAACCTGCTCTATGAAAGGGACTTTTCAACACTGTGACTTCAATTGAAACATCCCAATGAAGCTTCTGAGAATGCTTCTGTCTTGAGTTTATATGAAGAAAATCCCGTTTCCAATGAAATCCCCAAAGCTATCCAAATATCCTCTTGCAGATTTTACAAAAAGACTGTTTCAAAACTGCTCTATCAAAAGAAAGCTTCAACACTGTTAGCTGAGGGCGCACATCACAAATAAGATTCTGAGAATGCTTCTGTCTTGTTTTCAGGAGAAGATATTTCCTTTTTCACCATAGGCCTGAAAGCGCTCCAAATGTCCACATCCAGATACTATAAAAAGAGTGTTTCAAACCTGCTCTATGAAACAGAATGTTCAACTCTGGGACTTGAATGCAAACATCAAAAAGAAGATTCTGGGAATGCTGCTGTCTGCTTTTTATATGTAATCCCGTTTCCAACGAAATCCTCAAAGCTAGACAAATATCCACTTGCAGATTCCACAAAAAGAGTGTTTCAAAACTGCTCTCTCAAAAGAAAGTTTCAACTCTGTTAGCTGAGTAGATACATCATGAAAATGTTTCTGACATTTCTTCTATGTAGCTTTTATTGGAAGATATTTCCTTTTTCACCGTAGTCCTGAGAGCGCTCCCAATGTCCACTTCCAGATACTACAAAAAGAGTGTTTCAAACCTGCTCTATGAAAGGGACTTTTCAACACTGTGACTTCAATTGAAACATCCCAATGAAGCTTCTGAGAATGCTTCTGTCTTGAGTTTATATGAAGAAAATCCCGTTTCCAATGAAATCCTCAAAGCTATCCAAATATCCTCTTGCAGATTTTACAAAAAGACTGTTTCAAAACTGCTCTATCAAAAGAAAGCTTCAACACTGTTAGCTGAGGGCGCACATCACAAATAAGATTCTGAGAATGCTTCTGTCTTGTTTTCAGGAGAAGATATTTCCTTTTTCACCATAGGCCTGAAAGCGCTCCAAATGTCCACATCCAGATACTATAAAAAGAGTGTTTCAAACCTGCTCTATGAAACGGAATGTTCAACTCTGGGACTTGAATGCAAACATCACAAAGAAGATTCTGGGAATGCTGCTGTCTGCTTTTTATATGTAATCCCGTTTCCAACGAAATCCTCAAAGCTAGACAAATATCCACTTGCAGATTCCACAAAAAGAGTGTTTCAAAACTGCTCTATCAAAAGAAAGCTTCAACACTGTTAGTTGAGGGCGCACATCACAAATAAGTTTCTGAGAATGCTTCTGTCTAGTTTTCAGGGGAAGATATTTCCTTTTTCACCATAGGCCTGAAAGCGTTCCAAATGTCCACATCCAGATACTACAAAAAGAGTGTTTCAAACCTGCTCTATGAAAGGGAACGTTCAACTCTGTGACTTGAATGCAAACATCACAAAGAAGTTACTGGGAATGCTGCTGTCTGCTTTTTATATTTAATCCCGTTTCCAACGAAATCCTCAAAGCTAGACAAATATCCACTTCCAGATTCCACAAAAAGAGTGTTTCAAAACTGCTCTCTCAAAAGAAAGTTTCAACTCTGTTAGCTGAGTAGATACATCATGAAAAAGTTTCTGACATTGCTTCTATCTAGCTTTTATTGGAAGATATTTCCTTTTTCACCGTAGTCCTGAGAGCGCTCCAAATGTCCACTTCCAGATACTACAAAAAGAGTGTTTCAAACCTGCTCTATGAAAGGGACTTTTCAACACTGTGACTTCAATTGAAACATCCCAATGAAGCTTCTGAGAATGCTTCTGTCTTGAGTTTATATGAAGAAAATCCCGTTTCCAATGAAATCCCCAAAGCTATCCAAATATCCTCTTGCAGATTTTACAAAAAGACTGTTTAAAAACTGCTCTATCAAAAGAAAGCTTCAACACTGTTAGCTGAGGGCGCACATCACAAATAAGATTCTGAAAATGCTTCTGTCTTGTTTTCAGGAGAAGATATTTCCTTTTTCACCATAGACCTGAAAGCGCTCCAAATGTCCACATCCAGATACTATAAAAAGAGTGTTTCAAACCTGCTCTATGAAACGGAATGTTCAACTCTGGGACTTGAATGCAAACATCACAAAGAAGATTCTGGGAATGCTGCTGTCTGCTTTTTATATGTAATCCCGTTTCCAACGAAATCCTCAAAGCTAGACAAATATCCACTTGCAGATTCCACAAAAAGAGTGTTTCAAAACTGCTCTATCAAAAGAAAGCTTCAACACTGTTAGTTGAGGGCGCACATCACAAATAAGTTTCTGAGAATGCTTCTGTCTAGTTTTCAGGGGAAGATATTTCCTTTTTCACCATAGGCCTGAAAGCGCTCCAAATGTCCACATCCAGATACTACAAAAAGAGTGTTTCAAACCTGCTCTATGAAAGGGACTGTTCAACACTGTGACTTCAATTGAAACATCCCAATGAAGCTTCTGAGAATGCTTCTGTCTAGAGTTTATATGAAGACAATCCCGTTTCCAACGAAATCCTCAAAGCTATCCAAATATCCTCTTGCAGATTTTACAAAAAGAGTGTTTCAAAACTGCTCTATCAAAAGAAAGCTTCAACACTGTTAGTTGAGGGCGCACATCACAAATAAGATTCTGAGAATGCTTCTGTCTAGTTTTCAGGGGAAGATATTTCCTTTTTCACCATAGGCCTGAAAGCGCTCCAAATGTCCACATCCAGATACTACAAAAAGAGTGTTTCAAACCTGCTCTATGAAAGGGAATGTTCAACTCTGTGACTTGAATGCAACATCACAAAGAAGTTTCTGGGAATGCTGCTCTCTGCTTTTTATATGTAATCCCGTTTCCAACGAAATCCTCAAAGCTAGACAAATATCCACTTGCAGATTCCACAAAAAGAGTGTTTCAAAACTGCTCTCTCAAAAGAAAGGTTCAACTCTGTTAGCTGAGTAGATACATCATGAAAAAGTTTCTGACATTTCTTCTATCTAGCTTTTATTGGAAGATATTTCCTTTTTCACCGTAGTCCTGAGATCTCTCCAAATGTCCACTTCCAGATACTACAAAAAGAGTGTTTCAAACCTGCTCTATGAAAGGGACTGTTCAACACTGTGACTTCAATTGAAACATCCCAATGAAGCTTCTGAGAATGCTTCTGTCTAGAGTTTATATGAAGACAATCCCGTTTCCAACGAAATCCTCAAAGCTATGCAAATATCCTCTTGCAGATTTTACAAAAAGAGTGTTTCAAAACTGCTCTATCAAAAGAAAGCTTCAGCACTGTTAGTTGAGGGCGTACATCACAAATAAGATTCTGAGAATGCTTCTGTCTAGTTTTCATGGGAAGATATTTCCTTTTTCACCATATGCCTGAAAGCGCTCAAAATGTCCACATCCAGATACTACAAAAAGAGTGTTTCAAACCTGCTCTATGAAAGGGAATGTTCAACTCTGTGACTTGAATGCAAACATCACAAAGAAGTTTCTGGGAATGCTGCTGTCTGCTTTTTATATGTAATCCCGTTTCCAACGAAATCCTCAAAGCTAGACAAATATCCACTTGCAGATTCCACAAAAAGAGTGTTTCAAAACTGCTCTCTCAAAAGAAAGTTTCAACTCTGTTAGCTGAGTAGATACATCATGAAAAAGTTTCTGACATTGCTTCTATGTAGCTTTTATTGGAAGATATTTCCTTTTTCACCGTAGTCCTGAGATCTCTCCAAATGTCCACTTCCAGATACTACAAAAAGAGTGTTTCAAACCTGCTCTATGAAAGGGACTTTTCAACACTGTGACTTCAATTGAAACATCCCAATGAAGCTTCTGAGAATGCTTCTGTCTTGAGTTTATATGAAGAAAATCCCGTTTCCAATGAAATCCTCAAAGCTATCCAAATATCCTCTTGCAGATTTTACGAAAAGAGTGTTTCAAAACTGCTCTATCAATAGAAAGCTTCAACACTGTTAGCTGAGGGCGCACATCACAAATAAGATTCTGAGAATGCTTCTGTCTTGTTTTCAGGAGAAGATATTTCCTTTTTCACCATAGGCCTGAAAGCGCTCCAAATGTCCACATCCAGATACTATAAAAAGAGTGTTTCAAACCTGCTCTATGAAACGGAATGTTCAACTCTGGGACTTGAATGCAAACATCACAAAGAAGATTCTGGGAATGCTGCTGTCTGCTTTTTATATGTAATCAAGTTTCCAACGAAATCCTCAAAGCTAGACAAATATCCACTTGCAGATTCCATAAAAAGAGTGTTTCAAAACTGCTCTATCAAAAGAAAGCTTCAACACTGTTAGTTGAGGGCGCACATCACAAATAAGTTTCTGAGAATGCTTCTGTCTAGTTTTCAGAGGAAGATATTTCGTTTTTCACCATAGGCCTGAAAGCGCTCCAAATGTCCACATCCAGATACTACAAAAAGAGTGTTTCAAACCTGCTCTATGAAAGGGACTGTTCAACACTGTGACTTCAATTGAAACATCCCAATGAAGCTTCTGAGAATGCTTCTGTCTAGAGTTTATATGAAGACAATCCCGTTTCCAACGAAATCCTCAAAGCTATCCAAATATCCTCTTGCAGATTTTACAAAAAGAGTGTTTCAAAACTGCTCTATCAAAAGAAAGCTTCAACACTGTTAGTTGAGGGCGCACATCACAAATAAGATTCTGAGAATGCTTCTGTCTAGTTTTCAGGGGAAGATATTTCCTTTTTCACCATAGGCCTGAAAGCGCTCCAAATGTCCACATCCAGATACTACAAAAAGAGTGTTTCAAACCTGCTCTATGAAAGGAAATGTTCAACTCTGTGACTTGAATGCAAACATCACAAAGAAGTTTCTGGGAATGCTGCTGTCTGCTTTTTATATGTAATCCCGTTTCCAACGAAATCCTCAAAGCTAGACAAATATCCACTTGCAGATTCCACAAAAAGAGTGTTTCAAAACTGCTCTCTCAAAAGAAAGGTTCAACTCTGTTAGCTGAGTAGATACATCATGAAAAAGTTTCTGACATTGCTTCTATCTAGCTTTTATTGGAAGATATTTCGTTTATCACTGTATTCCTGAGATCTCTCCAAATGTCCACTTCCAGATACTACAAAAAGAGTGTTTCAAACCTGCTCTATGAAAGGGACTGTTCAACACTGTGACTTCAATTGAAACATCCCAATGAAGCTTCTGAGAATGCTTCTGTCTAGAGTTTATATGAAGACAATCCCGTTTCCAACGAAATCCTCAAAGCTATCCAAATATCCTCTTGCAGATTTTACAAAAAGAGTGTTTCAAAACTGCTCTATCAAAAGAAAGCTTCAACACTGTTAGTTGAGGGCGCACATCACAAATAAGATTCTGAGAATGCTTCTGTCTAGTTTTCAGGGGAAGATATTTCCTTTTTCACCATTGGCCTGAAAGCGCTCCAAATGTCCACATCCAGATACTACAAAAAGAGTGTTTCAAACCTGCTCTATGAAAGGGAATGTTCAACTCTGTGACTTGAATGCAAACATCACAAAGAAATTTCTGGGAATGCTGCTGTCTGCTTTTTATATGTAATCCCGTTTCCAACGAAATCCTCAAAGCTAGACAAATATCCACTTGCAGATTCCACAAAAAGAGTGTTTCAAAACTGCTCTCTCAAAAGAAAGGTTCAACTCTGTTAGCTGAGTAGATACATCATGAAAAAGTTTCTGATATTGCTTCTATGTAGCCTTTATTGGAAGATATTTCCTTTTTCACCGTAGTCCTGAGAGCGCTCCAAATGTCCACTTCCAGATACTACAAAAAGGGTGTTTCAAACCTGCTCTATGAAAGGGACTGTTCAACACTGTGACTTCAATTGAAACATCCCAATGAAGCTTCTGAGAATGCTTCTGTCTAGAGTTTATATGAAGACAATCCCGTTTCCAACGAAATCCTCAAAGCTATCCAAATATCCTCTTGCAGATATTACAAAAAGAGTGTTTCAAAACTGCTCTATCAAAAGAAAGGTTCAACACTGTTAGTTGAGGGCGCACATCACAAATAAGTTTCTGAGAATGCTTCTGTCTAGTTTTCAGGGGAAGATATTTCCTTTTTCACCATAGGCCTGAAAGCGCTCCAAATGTCCACATCCAGATACTACAAAAAGAGTGTTTCAAACCTGCTCTATGAAAGGGAATGTTCAACTCTGTGACTTGAATGCAAACATCACAAAGAAGTTACTGGGAATGCTGCTGTCTGCTTTTTATATGTAATCCCGTTTCCAACGAAATCCTCAAAGCTAGACAAATATCCACTTGCAGATTCCACAAAAAGAGTGTTTCAAAACTGCTCCCTCAAAGGAAAGGTTCAACTCTGTTAGCTGAGTAGATACATCATGAAAAAGTTTCTGACATTGCTTCTATGTAGCTTTTATTGGAAGATATTTCCTTTTTCACCGTAGTCCTGAGAGCGCTCCAAATGTCCACTTCCAGATACTACAAAAAGAGTGTTTCAAACCTGCTCTATGAAAGGAACTGTTCAACACTGTGACTTCAATTGAAACATCCCAATGAAGCTTCTGAGAATGCTTCTGTCTAGAGTTTATATGAAGACAATCCCGTTTCCAACGAAATCCTGAAAGCTATCCAAATATCCTCTTGCAGATTTTACAAAAAGAGTGTTTCAAAACTGCTCTATCAAAAGAAAGCTTCAACACTGTTAGTTGAGGGCGCACATCACAAATAAGTTTCTGAGAATGCTTCTGTCTAGTTTTCAGGGGAAGATATTTCCTTTTTCACCATAGGCCTGAAAGCGCTCCAAATGTCCACATACAGATACTACAAAAAGAGTGTTTCAAACCTGCTCTATGAAAGGGAATGTTCAACTCTGTGACTTGAATGCAAACATCACAAAGAAGTTTCTGGGAATGCTGCTGTCTGCTTTTTATATGTAATCCCGTTTCCAACGAAATCCTCAAAGCTAGACAAATATCCACTTGCAGATTCCACAAAAAGAGTGTTTCAAAACTGCTCTCTCAAAAGAAAGGTTCAACTCTGTTAGCTGAGTAGATAGATCATGAAAAAGTTTCTGACATTGCTTCTATCTAGCTTTTATTGGAAGATATTTCCTTTTTCACCGCAGTCCTGAGAGCGCTCCAAATGTCCACTTCCAGATACTACAAAAAGAGTGTTTCAAACCTGCTCTATGAAAGGGACTGTTCAACACTGTGACTTCAATTGAAACATCCCAATGAAGCTTCTGAGAATGCTTCTGTCTAGAGTTTATATGAAGACAATCCCGTTTCCAACGAAATCCTCAAAGCTATCCAAATATCCTCTTGCAGATTTTACAAAAAGAGTGTTTCAAAACTGCTCTATCAAAAGAAAGCTTCAACATTGCTAGTTGAGGGCGCACATCACAAATAAGATTCTGAGAATGCTTCTGTCTAGTTTTCAGGGGAAGATATTTCCTTTTTCACCATAGGCCTGAAAGCGCTCCAAATGTCCACATACAGATACTACAAAAAGAGTGTTTCAAACCTGCTCTATGAAAGGGAATGTTCAACTCTGTGACTTGAATGCAAACATCACAAAGAAGTTACTGGGAATGCTGCTGTCTGCTTTTTATATGTAATCCCGTTTCCAACGAAATCCTCAAAGCTAGACAAATATCCACTTGCAGATTCCACAAAAAGAGTGTTTCAAAACTGCTCTCTCAAAAGAAATGTTCAACTCTGTTAGCTGAGTAGATACATCATGAAAAATTTTCTGACATTGCTTCTATCTAGCTTTTATTGGAAGATATTTCCTTTGTCACCGTATTCCTGAGATCTCTCCAAATGTCCACTTCCAGATACTACAAAAAGGGTGTTTCAAACCTGCTCTATGAAAGGGACTGTTCAACACTGTGACTTCAATTGAAACATCCCAATGAAGCTTCTGAGAATGCTTCTGTCTAGAGTTTATATGAAGACAATCCCGTTTCCAACGAAATCCTCAAAGCTATCCAAATATCCTCTTGCTGATATTACAAAAAGAGTGTTTCAAAACTGCTCTATCAAAAGAAAGGTTCAACACTGTTAGTTGAGGGCGCACATCACAAATAAGTTTCTGAGAATGCTTCTGTCTAGTTTTCAGGGGAAGATATTTCCTTTTTCACCATAGGCCTGAGAGCGCTCCAAATGTCCACATCCAGATACTACAAAAAGAGTGTTTCAAACCTGCTCTATGAAAGGGAATGTTCAACTCTGTGACTTGAATGCAAACATCAGAAAGAAGTTACTGGGAATGCTGCTGTCTGCTTTTTATATGTAATCCCGTTTCCAACGAAATCCTCAAAGCTAGACAAATATCCACTTGCAGATTCCACAAAAAGAGTGTTTCAAAACTGCTCCCTCAAAGGAAAGGTTCAACTCTGTTAGCTGAGTAGATACATCATGAAAAAGTTTCTGACATTGCTTCTATGTAGCTTTTATTGGAAGATATTTCCTTTTTCACCGTAGTCCTGAGAGCGCTCTAAATGTCCACTTCCAGATACTACAAAAAGAGTGTTTCAAACCTGCTCTATGAAAGGAACTGTTCAACACTGTGACTTCAATTGAAACATCCCAATGAAGCTTCTGAGAATGCTTCTGTCTAGATTTTATATGAAGACAATCCCGTTTCCAACGAAATCCTCAAAGCTATCCAAATATCCTCTTGCAGATTTTACAAAAAGAGTGTTTCAAAACTGCTCTATCAAAAGAAAGCTTCAACACTGTTAGTTGAGGGCGCACATCACAAATAAGTTTCTGAGAATGCTTCTGTCTAGTTTTCAGGGGAAGATATTTCCTTTTTCACCATAGGACTGAAAGCGCTCCAAATGTCCACATAGAGATACTACAAAAAGAGAGTTTCAAACCTGCTCTATGAAAGGGAATGTTCAACTCTGTGACTTGAATGCAAACATCACAAAGAAGTTTCTGGGAATGCTGCTGTCTGCTTTTTATATGTAATCCCGTTTCCAACGAAATCCTCAAAGCTAGACAAATATCCACTTGCAGATTCCACAAAAAGAGTGTTTCAAAACTGCTCTCTCAAAAGAAAGGTTCAACTCTGTTAGCTGAGTAGATACATCATGAAAAAGTTTCTGACATTGCTTCTATCTAGCTTTTATTGGAAGATATTTCCTTTTTCACCGCAGTCCTGAGAGCGCTCCAAATGTCCACTTCCAGATACTACCAAAAGAGTGTTTCAAACCTGCTCTATGAAAGGGACTGTTCAACACTGTGACTTCAATTGAAACATCCCAATGAAGCTTCTGAGAATGCTTCTGTCTAGAGTTTATATGAAGACAATCCCGTTTGCAATGAAATCCTCAAAGCTATCCAAATATCCTCTTGCAGATTTTACAAAAAGAGTGTTTCAAAACTGCTCTATCAAAAGAAAGCTTCAACACTGTTAGTTGAGGGCGCACATCACAAATAAGATTCTGAGAATGCTTCTGTCTAGTTTTCAGGGGAAGATATTTCCTTTTTCACCATAGGCCTGAAAGCGCTCCAAATGTCCACATACAGATACTACAAAAAGAGTGTTTCAAACCTGCTCTATGAAAGGGAATGTTCAACTCTGTGACTTGAATGCAAACTTCACAAAGAAGTTTCTGGGAATGCTGCTGTCTGCTTTTTATATGTAATCCCGTTTCCAACGAAATCCTCAAATCTAGACAAATATCCACTTGCAGATTCCACAAAAAGAGTGTTTCAAAACTGCTCTCTCAAAAGAAAGTTTCAACTCTGTTAGCTGAGTAGATACATCATGAAAAATTTTCTGACATTGCTTCTATCTAGCTTTTATTGGAAGATATTTCCTTTGTCACCGTATTCCTGAGATCTCTCCAAATGTCCACTTGCAGATACTACAAAAAGAGTGTTTCAAACCTGCTCTATGAAAGGGACTGTTCAAAACTGTGACTTCAATTGAAACATCCCAATGAAGCTTCTGAGAATGCTTCTGTCTAGAGTTTATATGAAGACAATCCCGTTTCCAACGAAATCCTCAAAGCTATCCAAATATACTCTTGCAGATATTACAAAAAGAGTGTTTCAAAACTGCTCTATCAAAAGAAAGGTTCAACACTGTTAGTTGAGGGCGCACATCACAAATAAGTTTCTGAGAATGCTTCTGTCTAGTTTTCAGGGGAAGATATTTCCTTTTTCACCATAGGCCTGAAAGCGCTCCAAATGTCCACATCCAGATACTACAAAAAGAGTGTTTCAAACCTGCTCTATGAAAGGGAATGTTCAACTCTGTGACTTGAATGCAAACATCACAAAGAAGATTCTGGGAATGCTGCTGTCTGCTTTCTATATATAATCCCGTTTCCAACGAAATCCTCAAAGGTAGACAAATATCCACTTGCAGATTCCACAAAAAGAGTGTTTCAAAACTGCTCTCTCAAAAGAAAGGTTCAACTCTGTTAGCTGAGTAGACACATCATGAAAAAGTTTCTGACATTGCTTCTATCTAGCTTTTATTGGAAGATATTTCCTTTTTCACCGTAGTCCTGAGAGCGCTCCAAATGTCCACTTCCAGATACTACAAAAAGAGTGTTTCAAACCTGCTCTATGAAAGGAACTGTTCAACACTGTGACTTCAATTGAAACATCCCAATGAAGCTTCTGAGAATGCTTCTGTCTAGAGTTTATATGAAGACAATCCCGTTTCCAACGAAATCCTCAAAGCTATCCAAATATCCTCTTGCAGATTTTACAAAAAGAGTGTTTCAAAACTGCTCTATCAAAAGAAAGCTTCAACACTGTTAGTTGAGGGCGCACATCACAAATAAGTTTCTGAGAATGCTTCTGTCTAGTTTTCAGGGGAAGATATTTCCTTTTTCACCATAGGCCTGAAAGCGCTCCAAATGTCCACATCCAGATACTACAAAAAGAGTGTTTCAAACCTGCTCTATGAAAGGGAATGTTCAACTCTGTGACTTGAATGCAAACATCACAAAGAAGTTTCTGGGAATGCTGCTGTCTGCTTTTTATATGTAATCCCGTTTCCAACGAAATCCTCAAAGCTAGACAAATATCCACTTGCAGATTCCACAAAAAGAGTGTTTCAAAACTGCTCTCTCAAAAGAAAGGTTCAACTCTGTTAGCTGAGTAGATACATCATGAAAAAGTTTCTGACATTGCTTCTATCTAGCTTTTATTGGAAGATATTTCCTTTTTCACCGCAGTCCTGAGAGCGCTCCAAATGTCCACTTCCAGATACTACAAAAAGAGTGTTTCAAACCTGCTCTATGAAAGGGACTGTTCAACACTGTGACTTCAATTGAAACATCCCAATGAAGCTTCTGAGAATGCTTCTGTCTAGAGTTTATATGAAGACAATCCCGTTTGCAATGAAATCCTCAAAGCTATCCAAATATCCTCTTGCAGATTTTACAAAAAGAGTGTTTCAAAACTGCTCTATCAAAAGAAAGCTTCAACACTGTTAGTTGAGGGCGCACATCACAAATAAGATTCTGAGAATGCTTCTGTCTAGTTTTCAGGGGAAGATATTTCCTTTTTCACCATAGGCCTGAAAGCGCTCCAAATGTCCACATACAGATACTACAAAAAGAGTGTTTCAAACCTGCTCTATGAAAGGGAATGTTCAACTCTGTGACTTGAATGCAAACTTCACAAAGAAGTTTCTGGGAATGCTGCTGTCTGCTTTTTATATGTAATCCCGTTTCCAACGAAATCCTCAAATCTAGACAAATATCCACTTGCAGATTCCACAAAAAGAGTGTTTCAAAACTGCTCTCTCAAAAGAAAGTTTCAACTCTGTTAGCTGAGTAGATACATCATGAAAAATTTTCTGACATTGCTTCTATCTAGCTTTTATTGGAAGATATTTCCTTTGTCACAGTATTCCTGAGATCTCTCCAAATGTCCACTTGCAGATACTACAAAAAGAGTGTTTCAAACCTGCTCTATGAAAGGGACTGTTCAAAACTGTGACTTCAATTGAAACATCCCAATGAAGCTTCTGAGAATGCTTCTGTCTAGAGTTTATATGAAGACAATCCCGTTTCCAACGAAATCCTCAAAGCTATCCAAATATACTCTTGCAGATATTACAAAAAGAGTGTTTCAAAACTGCTCTATCAAAAGAAAGGTTCAACACTGTTAGTTGAGGGCGCACATCACAAATAAGTTTCTGAGAATGCTTCTGTCTAGTTTTCAGGGGAAGATATTTCCTTTTTCACCATAGGCCTGAAAGCGCTCCAAATGTCCACATCCAGATACTACAAAAAGAGTGTTTCAAACCTGCTCTATGAAAGGGAATGTTCAACTCTGTGACTTGAATGCAAACATCACAAAGAAGATTCTGGGAATGCTGCTGTCTGCTTTCTATATATAATCCCGTTTCCAACGAAATCCTCAAAGGTAGACAAATATCCACTTGCAGATTCCACAAAAAGAGTGTTTCAAAACTGCTCTCTCAAAAGAAAGGTTCAACTCTGTTAGCTGAGTAGATACATCATGAAAAAGTTTCTGACATTGCTTCTATCTAGCTTTTATTGGAAGATATTTCCTTTTTCACCGTAGTCCTGAGAGCGCTCCAAATGTCCACTTCCAGATACTACAAAAAGAGTGTTTCAAACCTGCTCTATGAAAGGAACTGTTCAACACTGTGACTTCAATTGAAACATCCCAATGAAGCTTCTGAGAATGCTTCTGTCTAGAGTTTATATGAAGACAATCCCGTTTCCAACGAAATCCTCAAAGCTATCCAAATATCCTCTTGCAGATTTTACAAAAAGAGTGTTTCAAAACTGCTCTATCAAAAGAAAGCTTCAACACTGTTAGTTGAGGGCGCACATCACAAATAAGTTTCTGAGAATGCTTCTGTCTAGTTTTCAGGGGAAGATATTTCCTTTTTCACCATAGGCCTGAAAGCGCTCCAAATGTCCACATCCAGATACTACAAAAAGAGTGTTTCAAACCTGCTCTATGAAAGGGAATGTTCAACTCTGTGACTTGAATGCAAACATCACAAAGAAGTTACTGGGAATGCTGCTGTCTGCTTTTTATATGTAATCCCGTTTCCAACGCAATCCTCAAAGCTAGACAAATATCCACTTGCAGATTCCACAAAAAGAGTGTTTCAAAACTGCTCTCTCAAAAGAAAGGTTCAACTCTGTTAGCTGAGTAGATAGATCATGAAAAAGTTTCTGACATTGCTTCTATCTAGCTTTTATTGGAAGATATTTCCTTTTTCACCGCAGTCCTGAGAGCGCTCCAAATGTCCACTTCCAGATACTACAAAAAGAGTGTTTCAAACCTGCTCTATGAAAGGGACTGTTCAACACTGTGACTTCAATTGAAACATCCCAAGAAGCTTCTGAGAATGCTTCTGTCTAGAGTTTATATGAAGACAATCCCGTTTCCAACGAAATCCTCAAAGCTATCCAAATATCCTCTTGCAGATATTACAAAAAGTGTGTTTCAAAACTGCTCTATCAAAAGAAAGGTTCAACACTGTTAGTTGAGGGCGCACATCACAAATAAGTTTCTGAGAATGCTTCTGTCTAGTTTTCAGGGGAAGATATTTCCTTTTTCACCATAGGCCTGAAAGCGCTCCAAATGTCCACATCCAGATACTACAAAAAGAGTGTTTCAAACCTGCTCTATGAAAGGGAATGTTCAACTCTGTGACTTGAATGCAAACATCACAAAGAAGTTACTGGGAATGCTGCTGTCTGCTTTTTATATGTAATCCCGTTTCCAACGAAATCCTCAAAGCTAGACAAATATCCACTTGCAGATTCCACAAAAAGAGTGTTTCAAAACTGCTCCCTCAAAGGAAAGGTTCAACTCTGTTAGCTGAGTAGATACATCATGAAAAAGTTTCTGACCTTGCTTCTATGTAGCTTTTATTGGAAGATATTTCCTTTTTCACCGTAGTCCTGAGAGCGCTCCAAATGTCCACTTCCAGATACTACAAAAAGAGTGTTTCAAACCTGCTCTATGAAAGGAACTGTTCAACACTGTGACTTCAATTGAAACATCCCAATGAAGCTTCTGAGAATGCTTCTGTCTAGAGTTTATATGAAGACAATCCCGTTTCCAACGAAATCCTCAAAGCTATCCAAATATCCTCTTGCAGATTTTACAAAAAGAGTGTTTCAAAACTGCTCTATCAAAAGAAAGCTTCAACACTGTTAGTTGAGGGCGCACATCACAAATAAGTTTCTGAGAATGCTTCTGTCTAGTTTTCAGGGGAAGATATTTCCTTTTTCACCATAGGCCTGAAAGCGCTCCAAATGTCCACATACAGATACTACAAAAAGAGTGTTTCAAACCTGCTCTATGAAAGGGAATGTTCAACTCTGTGACTTGAATGCAAACATCACAAAGAAGATTCTGGGAATGCTGCTGTCTGCTTTTTATATGTAATCCCGTTTCCAACGAAATCCTCAAAGCTAGACAAATATCCACTTGCAGATTCCACAAAAAGAGTGTTTCAAAAATGCTCTATCAAAAGAAAACTTCAACACTGTTAGTTGAGGGCGCACATCACAAATAAGTTTCTGAGAATGCTTCTGTCTAGTTTTCAGGGGAAGATATTTCCTTTTTCACCATAGGCCTGAAAGCGCTCCAAATGTCCACATCCAGATACTACAAAAAGAGTGTTTCAAACCTGCTCTATGAAAGTGACTGTTCAACACTGTGACTTCAATTGAAACATCCCAATGAAGCTTCTGAGAATGCTTCTGTCTAGAGTTTATATGAAGACAATCCCGTTTCCAACGAAATCCTCAAAGCTAACCAAATATCCTCTTGCAGATTTTACAAAAAGAGTGTTTCAAAACTGCTCTATCAAAAGAAAGCTTCTACACTGTTAGTTGAGGGCGCACATCACAAATAAGATTCTGAGAATGCTTCTGTCTAGTTTTCAGGGGAAGATATTTCCTTTTTCACCATAGGCCTGAAAGCGCTCCAAATGTCCACATCCAGATACTACAAAAAGAGTGTTTCAAACCTGCTCTATGAAAGGGAATGTTCAACTCTGTGAGTTGAATGCAAACATCACAAAGAAGTTTCTGGGAATGCTGCTGTCTGCTTTTTATATGTAATCCCGTTTCCAACGAAATCTTCAAAGCTAGACAAATATCCACTTGCATATTCCACAAAAGGAGTGTTTCAAAACTGCTCTCTCAAAAGAAAGGTTCAACTCTGTTAGCTGACTAGATACATCATGAAAAAGTTTCTGACATTGCTTCTCTCTAGCTTTTATTGGAAGATACTTCCTTTTTCACCGCAGTCCTGAGAGCGATCCAAATGTCCACTTCCAGATACTACAAAAAGAGTGTTTCAAACCTGCTCTATGAAAGGGACTCTTCAACACTGTGACTTCAATTGAAACATCCCAATGAAGCTTCTGAGAATGTTTCTGTCTAGAGTTTATATGAAGACAATCCCGTTTCCAACGAAATCCTCAAAGCTATCCAAATATCCTCTTGCAGATTTTACAAAAAGAGTGTTTCAAAACTGCTCTATCAAAAGAAAGCTTCAACACTGTTAGTTGAGGGCGGACATCACAAATAAGATTCTGAGAATGCTTCTGTCTAGTTTTCAGGGGAAGATATTTCCTTTTTCACCATAGGCCTGAAAGCGCTCCAAATGTCCACATCCAGATACTACAAAAAGAGTGTTTCAAACCTGCTCTATGAAAGGGAATGTTCAACTCTGTGACTTGAATGCAAACATCACAAAGAAGTTTCTGGGAATGCTGCTGTCTGCTTTTTATATGTAATCCCGTTTCCAACGAAATCCTCAAAGCTAGACAAATATCCACTTGCAGATTCCACAAAAAGAGTGTTTCAAAACTGCTCTATCAAAAGAAAGCTTCAACACTGTTAGTTGAGGGCGCACATCACAAATGAGTTGCTGAGAATGCTTCTGTCTAGTTTTCAGAGGAAGATATTTCCTTTTTCACCATAGGCCTGAAAGCGCTCCAAATGTCCACATCCAGATACTACAAAAAGAGTGTTTCAAACCTGCTCTATGAAAGGGACTGTTCAACTCTGTGACTTGAATGCAACATCACAAAGAAGTTTCTGGTAATGCTGCTGTCTGCTTTTTATATGTAATCCCGTTTCCAACGAAATCCTCAAAGGTAGACAAATATCCACTTGCAGATTCCACAAAAACAGTGTTTCAAAACTGCTCTCTCAAAAGAAAGGTTCAACTCTGTTAGCTGAGTAGATACATCATGAAAAAGTTTCTGACTTTTCTTCTATCTAGCTTTTATTGGAAGATATTTCCTTTTTCACCGTAGTCCTGAGATCTCTCCAAATGTCCACTTCCAGATACTACAAAAAGAGTGTTTCAAACCTGCTCTATGAAAGGGACTGTTCAACACTGTGACTTCAATTGAAACATCCCAATGAAGCTTCTGAGAATGCTTCTGTCTAGAGTTTATATGAAGACAATCCCGTTTCCAACGAAATCCTCAAAGCTATCCAAATATCCTCTTGCAGATTTTACAAAAAGAGTGTTTCAAAACTGCTCTATCAAAAGAAAGCTTCAGCACTGTTAGTTGAGGGCGCACATCACAAATAAGATTCTGAGAATGCTTCTGTCTAGTTTTCAGGGGAAGATATTTCCTTTTTCACCATAGGCCTGAAAGCGCTCCAAATGTCCACATCCAGATACTACAAAAAGAGTGTTTCAAACCTGCTCTATGAAAGGGAATGTTCAACTCTGTGACTTGAATGCAAACATCACAAAGAAGTTTCTGGGAATGCTGCTGTCTGCTTTTTATATGTAATCCCGTTTCCAACGAAATCCTCAAAGCTAGACAAATATCCACTTGCAGATTCCACAAAAAGAGTGTTTCAAAACTGCTCTATCAAAAGAAAGCTTCAACACTGTTAGTTGAGGGCGCACATCACAAATAAGTTTCTGAGAATGCTTCTGTCTAGTTTTCAGAGGAAGATATTTCCTTTTTCACCATAGGCCTGAAAGCGCTCCAAATGTCCACATCCAGATACTACAAAAAGAGTGTTTCAAACCTGCTCTATGAAAGGGACTGTTCAACACTGTGACTTCAATTGAAACATCCCAATGAGGCTTCTGAGAATGCTTCGTCTAGAGTTTATATGAAGACAATCCCGTTTCCAACGAAATCCTCAAAGCTATCCAAATATCCTCTTGCAGATTTTACAAAAAGAGTGTTTCAAAACTGCTCTATCAAAAGAAAGCTTCAACACTGTTAGTTGAGGGCGCACATCACAAATAAGATTCTGAGAATGCTTCTGTCTAGTTTTCAGGGGAAGATATTTCCTTTTTCACCATAGGCCTGAAAGCGCTCCAAATGTCCACATCCAGATACTACAAAAAGAGTGTTTCAAACCTGCTCTATGAAAGGGAATGTTCAACTCTGTGACTTGAATGCAAACATCACAAAGAAGTTACTGGGAATGCTGCTGTCTGCTTTTTATATGTAATCCCGTTTCCAACGAAATCCTCAAAGCTAGACAAATATCCACTTCCAGATTCCACAAAAAGAGTGTTTCAAAACTGCTCTCTCAAAAGAAAGTTTCAACTCTGTTAGCTGAGTAGATACATCATGAAAAAGTTTCTGACATTGCTTCTATGTAGCTTTTATTGGAAGATATTTCCTTTTTCAGCGTAGTCCTGAGAGCGCTCCAAATGTCCACTTCCAGATACTACAAAAAGAGTGTTTCAAACCTGCTCTATGAAAGGGACTTTTCAACACTGTGACTTCAATTGAAACATCCCAATGAAGCTTCTGAGAATGCTTCTGTCTTGAGTTTATATGAAGAAAATCCCGTTTCCAATGAAATCCTCAAAGCTATCCAAATATCCTCTTGCAGATTTTACAAAAAGATTGTTTCAAAACTGCTCTATCAAAAGAAAGCTTCAACACTGTTAGCTGAGGGCGCACATCACAAATAAGATTCTGAGAATGCTTCTGTCTTGTTTTCAGGAGAAGATATTTCCTTTTTCACCATAGGCCTGTAAGCGCTCCAAATGTCCACATCCAGATACTATAAAAAGAGTGTTTCAAACCTGCTCTATGAAACGGAATGTTCAACTCTGGGACTTGAATGCAAACATCACAAAGAAGATTCTGGGAATGCTGCTGTCTGCTTTTTATATGTAATCCCCTTTCCAACGAAATCCTTAAAGCTAGACAAATATCCACTTGCAGATTCCACAAAAAGAGTGTTTCAAAACTGCTCTATCAAAAGAAAGCTTCAACACTGTTAGTTGAGGGCGCACATCACAAATAAGTTTCTGAGAATGCTTCTGTCTAGTTTTCAGGGGAAGATATTTCCTTTTTCACCATAGGCCTGAAAGCGCTCCAAATGTCCACATCCAGATACTACAAAAAGAGTGTTTCAAACCTGCTCTATGAAAGGGACTGTTCAACACTGTGACTTCAATTGAAACATCCCAATGAAGCTTCTGAGAATGCTTCTGTCTAGAGTTTATATGAAGACAATCCCGTTTCCAACGAAATCCTCAAAGCTATCCAAATATCCTCTTGCAGATTTTACAAAAAGAGTGGTTCAAAACTGCTCTATCAAAAGAAAGCTTCAACACTGTTAATTGAGGGCGCACATCACAAATAAGATTCTGAGAATGCTTCTGTCTAGTTTTCAGGGGAAGATATTTCCTTTTTCACCATAGGCCTGAAAGCGCTCCAAATGTCCACATCCAGATACTACAAAAAGAGTGTTTCAAACCTGCTCTATGAAAGGGAATGTTCAACTCTGTGACTTGAATGCAAACATCACAAAGAAGTTTCTGGGAATGCTGCTGTCTGCTTTTTATATGTAATCCCGTTTCCAACGAAATCCTCAAAGCTAGACAAATATCCACTTGCAGATTCCACAAAAAGAGTGTTTCAAAACTGCTCTCTCAAAAGAAAGGTTCAACTCTGTTAGCTGAGTAGACACATCATGAAAAAGTTTCTGACATTGCTTCTATCTAGCTTTTATTGGAAGCTATTTCCTTTTTCACCGTAGTCCTGAGATCTCTCCAAATGTCCACTTCCAGATACTACAAAAAGAGTGTTTCAAACCTGCTCTATGAAAGGGACTGTTCAACACTGTGACTTCAATTGAAACATCCCAATGAAGCTTCTGAGAATGCTTCTGTCTAGAGTTTATATGAAGACAATCCCGTTTCCAACGAAATCCTCAAAGCTATCCAAATATCCTCTTGCAGATTTTAGAAAAAGAGTGTTTCAAAACTGCTCTATCAAAAGAAAGCTTCAACACTGTTAGTTGAGGGCGCACATCACAAATAAGATTCTGAGAATGCTTCTGTCTAGTTTTCAGGGGAAGATATTTCCTTTTTCACCACAGGCCTGAAAGCGCTCCAAATGTCCACATCCAGATACTACAAAAAGAGTGTTTCAAACCTGCTCTATGAAAGGGAATGTTCAACTCTGTGACTTGAATGCAAACATCACAAAGAAGTTTCTGGGAATGCTGCTGTCTGCTTTTTATATGTAATCACGTTTCCAACGAAATCCTCAAAGCTAGACAAATATCCACTTGCAGATTCCACAAAAAGAGTTTTTCAAAACTGCTCTATGAAAAGAAAGCTTCAACACTGTTAGTTGAGGGCGCACATCACAAATAAGTTTCTGAGAATGCTTCTGTCTAGTTTTCAGAGGAAGATATTTCCTTTTTCACCATAGGCCTGAAAGCGCTCCAAATGTCCACATCCAGATACTACAAAAAGAGTGTTTCAAACCTGCTCTATGAAAGGGACTGTTCAACACTGTGACTTCAATTGAAACATCCGAATGAGGCTTCTGTGAATGCTTCTGTCTAGAGTTTATATGAAGACAATCCCGTTTCCAACGAAATCCTCAAAGCTATCCAAATATCCTCTTGCAGATTTTACAAAAAGAGTGTTTCAAAACTGCTCTATCAAAAGAAAGCTTCAACACTGTTAGTTGAGGGCGCACATCACAAATAAGATTCTGAGAATGCTTCTGTCTAGTTTTCAGGGGAAGATATTTCCTTTTTCACCATAGGCCTGAAAGCGCTCCAAATGTCCACATCCAGATACTACAAAAAGAGTGTTTCAAACCTGCTCTATGAGAGGGAATGTTCAACTCTGTGACTTGAATGCAAACATCACAAAGAAGTTACTGGGAATGCTGCTGTCTGCTTTTTATATGTAATCCCGTTTCCAACGAAATCTTCAAAGCTAGACAAATATCCACTTCCAGATTCCACAAAAAGAGTGTTTCAAAACTGCTCTCTCAAAATAAAGTTTCAACTCTGTTAGCTGAGTAGATACATCATGAAAAAGTTTCTGACATTGCTTCTATGTAGCTTTTATTGGAAGATATTTCCTTTTTCACCGTAGTCCTGAGAGCGCTCCAAATGTCCACTTCCAGATACTACAAAAAGAGTGTTTCAAACCTGCTCTATGAAAGGGACTGTTCAACACTGTGACTTCAATTGAAACATCCCAATGAAGCTTCTGAGAATGCTTCTGTCTAGAGTTTATATGAAGACAATCCCGTTTCCAATGAAATCCTCAAAGCTATCCAAATATCCTCTTGCAGATTTTACAAAAAGACTGTTTCAAAACTGCTCTATCAAAAGAAAGCTTCAACACTGTTAGCTGAGGGCGCACATCACAAATAAGATTCTGAGAATGCTTCTGTCTAGTTTTCAGGAGAAGATATTTCCGTTTTCACCATAGGCCTGAAAGCGCTCCAAATGTCCACATCCAGATACTATAAAAAGAGTGTTTCAAACCTGCTCTATGAAAGGGAATGTTCAACTCTGGGACTTGAATGCAAACATCACAAAGAAGATTCTGGGAATGCTGCTGTCTGCTTTTTATATGTAATCCCGTTTCCAACGAAATCCTGAAAGCTAGACAAATATCCACTTGCAGATTCCACAAAAAGAGTGTTTCAAAACTGCTCTATCAAAAGAAAGCTTCAACACTGTTAGTTGAGGGCGCACATCACAAATAAGTTTCTGAGAATGCTTCTGTCTAGTTTTCAGGGGAAGATATTTCCTTTTTCACCGTAGGCCTGAAAGCGCTCCAAATGTCCACATCCAGATACTACAAAAAGAGTGTTTCAAACCTGCTCTATGAAAGGGACTGTTCAACACTGTGACTTCAATTGAAACATCCCAATGAGGCTTCTGAGAATGCTTCTGTCTAGAGTTTATATGAAGACAATCCCGTTTCCAACGAAATCCTCAAAGCTATCCAAATATCCTCTTGCAGATTTTACAAAAAGAGTGTTTCAAAACTGCTCTATCAAAAGAAAGCTTCAACACTGTTAGTTGAGGGCGCACATCAAAAATAAGATTCTGAGAATGCTTCTGTCTAGTTTTCAGGGGAAGATATTCCCTTTTTCACCATAGGCCTGAAAGCGCTCCAAATGTCCACATCCAGATGCTACAAAAAGAGTGTTTCAAACCTGCTCTATGAAAGGGAATGTTCAACTCTGTGACTTGAATGCAAACATCACAAAGAAGTTACTGGGAATGCTGCTGTCTGCTTTTTATATGTAATCCCGTTTCCAACGAAATCCTGAAAGCTAGGCAAATATCCACTTCCAGATTCCACAAAAAGAGTGTTTCAAAACTGCTCTCTCAAAAGAAAGTTTCAACTCTGTTAGCTGAGTAGATACATCATGAAAAAGTTTCTGACATTGCTTCTATGTAGCTTTTATTGGAAGATATTTCCTTTTTCACCGTAGTCCTGAGAGCGCTCCAAATGTCCACTTCCAGATACTACAAAAAGAGTGTTTCAAACCTGCTCTATGAAAGGGACTTTTCAACACTGTGACTTCAATTGAATCATCCCAATGAAGCTTCTGAGAATGCTTCTGTCTTGAGTTTATATGAAGAAAATCCCGTTTCCAATGAAATCCTCAAAGCTATCCAAATATCCTCTTGCAGATTTTACAAAAAGACTGTTTCAAAACTGCTCTATCAAAAGAAAGCTTCAACACTGTTAGCTGAGGGCGCACATCACAAATAAGATTCTGAGAATGCTTCTGTCTTGTTTTAAGGAGAAGATATTTCCTTTTTCACCATAGGCCTGAAAGCGCTCCAAATGTCCACATCCAGATACTATAAAAAGAGTGTTTCAAACCTGCTCTATGAAACGGAATGTTCAACTCTGGGACTTGAATGCAAACATCACAAAGAAGATTCTGGGAATGCTGCTGTCTGCTTTTTATATGTAATCCCGTTTCCAACGAAATCCTCAAAGCTAGACAAATATCCACTTGCAGATTCCACAAAAAGAGTGTTTCAAAACTGCTCTATCCAAAGAAAGCTTCAACACTGTTAGTTGAGGGCGCACATCACAAATAAGTTTCTGAGAATGCTTCTGTCTAGTTTTCAGGGGAAGATATTTCCTTTTTCACCATAGGCCTGAAAGCGCTCCAAATGTCCACATCCAGATACTACAAAAAGAGTGTTTCAAACCTGCTGTATGAAAGGGACTGTTCAACACTGTGACTTCAATTGAAACATCCCAATGAAGCTTCTGAGAATGCTTCTGTCTAGAGTTTATATGAAGACAATCCCGTTTCCAACGAAATCCTCAAAGCTATCCAAATATCCTCTTGCAGATTTTACAAAAAGAGTGTTTCAAAACTGCTCTATCAAAAGAAAGCTTCAACACTGTTAGTTGAGGGCGCACATCACAAATAAGATTCTGAGAATGCTTCTGTCTAGTTTTCAGGGGAAGATATTTCCTTTTTCACCATAGGCCTGAAAGCGCTCCAAATGTCCACATCCAGATACTACAAAAAGAGTGTTTCAAACCTGCTCTATGAAAGGGAATGTTCAACTCTGTCACTTGAATGGAAACATCACAAACAAGTTACTGGGAATGCTGCTGTCTGCTTTTTATATGTAATCCCGTTTCCAACGAAATCCTCAAAGCTAGACAAATATCCACTTGCAGATTCCACAAAAAGAGTGTTTCAAAACTGCTCTCTCAAAAGAAAGGTTCAACTCTGTTAGCTGAGTAGATACATCATGAAAAAGTTTCTGACATTGCTTCTATGTAGCTTTTATTGGAAGATATTTCCTTTTTCACCATAGTCCTGAGAGCGCTCCAAATGTCCACTTCCAGATACTACAAAAAGAGTGTTTCAAACCTGCTCTATGAAAGGGACTGTTCAAAACTGTGACTTCAATTGAAACATTCCAATGAATCTTCTGCGAATGCTTCTGTCTAGAGTTTATATGAAGACAGTCCCGTTTCCAACGAAATCCTCAAAGCTATCCAAATATCCTCTTGCAGATTTTACAAAAAGAGTGTTTCAAAACTGCTCTATCAAAAGAAAGCTTCAACACTGTTAGTTGAGGGCGCACATCACAAATAAGATTCTGAGAATGCTTCTGTCTAGTTTTCAGGGGAAGATATTTCCTTTTTCACCATAGGCCTGAAAGCGCTCCAAATGTCCACATCCAGATACTACAAAAAGAGTGTTTCAAACCTGCTCTATGAAAGGGAATGTTCAACTCTGTGACTTGAATGCAAACATCACAAAGAAGTTTCTGGGAATGCTGCTGTCTGCTTTTTATATGTAATCCCGTTTCCAACGAAATCCTCAAAGCTAGACAAATATCCACTTGCAGATTCCACAAAAAGAGTGTTTCAAAACTGCTCTCTCAAAAGAAAGGTTCAACTCTGTTAGCTGAGTAGATACATCATGAAAAAGTTTCTGACATTGCTTCTATCTAGCTTTTATTGGAAAATATTTCCTTTTTCACCATAGTCCTGAGAGCGCTCCAAATGTCCATTTCCAGGTACTACAAAAAGAGTGTTTCAAACCTGCTCTATGAAAGGGACTGTTCAACACTGTGACTTCAATTGAAACATCCCAATGAAGCTTCTGAGAATGCTTCTGTCTAGAGTTTATATGAAGACAATCCCGTATCCAACGAAATCCTCAAAGCTATCCAAATATCCTCTTGCAGATTTTACAAAAAGAGTGGTTCAAAACTGCTCTATCAAAAGAAAGCTTCAACACTGTTAATTGAGGGCGCACATCACAAATAAGATTCTGAGAATGCTTCTGTCTAGTTTTCAGGGGAAGATATTTCCTTTTTCACCATAGGCCTGAAAGCGCTCCAAATGTCCACATCCAGATACTACAAAAAGAGTGTTTCAAACCTGCTCTATGAAAGGGAATGTTCTACTCTGTGACTTGAATGCAACATCACAAAGAAGTTTCTGGGAATGCTGCTGTCTGCTTTTTATATGTAATCCCGTTTCCAACGAAATCCTCAAATGTATACAAATATCCACTTGCTGATTCCACAAAAAGAGTGTTTCAAAACTGCTCTCTCAAAAGAAAGGTTCAACTCTGTTAGCTGAGTAGATACATCCTGAAAAAGTTTCTGACATTTCTTCTATCTAGCTTTTATTGGAAGATATTTCCTTTTTCACCGTAGTCCTGAGATCTCTCCAAATGTCCACTTCCAGATACTACAAAAAGAGTGTTTCAAACCTGCTCTATGAAAGGGACTGTTCAACACTGTGACTTCAATTGAAACATCCCAATGAAGCTTCTGAGAATGCTTCTGTCTAGAGTTTATATGAAGACAATCCCGTTTCCAACGAAATCCTCAAAGCTATCCAAATATCCTCTTGCAGATTTTACAAAAAGAGTGTTTCAAAACTGCTCTATCAAGAGAAAGCTTCAACACTGTTAGTTGAGGGCGCACATCACAAATAAGATTCTGAGAATGCTTCTGTCTAGTTTCCTGGGGAAGATATTTCCTTTTTCACCATAGGCCTGAAAGTGCTCCAAATGTCCACATCCAGATACTACAAAAAGTGTGTTTCAAACCTGCTCTATGAAAGGGAATGTTCAACTCTGTGACTTGAATGCAAACATCACAAAGAAGTTTCTGGGAATGCTGCTGTCTGCTTTTTATATGTAATCCCGTTTCCAACGAAATCCTCAAAGCTAGACAAATATCCACTTCCAGATTCCACAAAAAGAGTGTTTCAAAACGGCTCTATCAAAAGAAAGCTTCAACACTGTTAGTTGAGGGCGCACATCACAAATAAGTTTCTGAGAATGCTTCTGTCTAGTTTTCAGGGGAAGATATTTCCTTTTTCACCATAGGCCTGAAAGCGCTCCAAATGTCCACATCCAGATACTACAAAAAGAATGTTTCAAACCTGCTCTATGAAAGGGACTGTTCAACACTGTGACTTCAATTGAAACATCCCAATGAAGCTTCTGAGAATGCTTCTGTCTAGAGTTTTTATGAAGACATTCCCGTTTCCAAAGAAATCCTCAAAGCTATCCAAATATCCTCTTGCAGATTTTACAAAAAGAGTGTTTCAAAACTGCTCTATCAAAAGAAAGCTTCAACACTGTTAGTTGAGGGCGCACATCACAAATAAGATTCTGAGAATGCTTCTGTCTAGTTTTCAGGGGAAGATATTTCCTTTTTCACCATAGGCCTGAAAGCGCTCCAAATGTGCACATCCAGATACTACAAAAAGAGTGTTTCAAACCTCCTCTATGAAAGGGAATGTTCAACTCTGTGACTTGAATGCAAACATCACAAAGAAGTTTCTGGGAATGCTGCTGTCTGCTTTTTATATGTAATCCCGTTTCCAACGAAATCCTCAAAGCTATCCAAATATCCTCTTGCAGATTTTACAAAAAGAGTGTTTCAAAACTGCTCTATCAAAAGAAAGCTTCAACACTGTTAGTTGAGGGCGCACATCACAAATAAGATTCTGAGAATGCTTCTGTCTAGTTTTCAGGGGAAGATATTTCTTTTTTCACCATAGGCCTGAAAGCGCTCCAAATGTCCACATCCAGATACTACAAAAAGAGTGTTTCAAACCTGCTCTATGAAAGGGAATGTTCAACTCTGTGACTTGAATGCAAACATCACAAAGAAGTTACTGGGAATGCTGCTGTCTGCTTTTTATATGTAATCCCGTTTCCAACGAAATCCTCAAAGCTAGACAAATATCCACTTCCAGATTACACAAAAAGAGTGTTTCAAAACTGCTCTCTCAAAAGAAAGCTTCAACTCTGTTAGCTGAGTAGATACATCATGAAAAAGTTTCTGACATTGCTTCTATGTAGCTTTTATTGGAAGATATTTCCTTTTTCACCGTAGTCCTGAGAGCGCTCCAAATGTCCACTTCCAGATACTACAAAAAGAGTGTTTCAAACCTGCTCTATGAAACGGAATGTTCAACACTGTGAATTCAATTGATACATCCCAATGAAGCTTCTGAGAATGCTTCTGTCTAGAGTTTATATGAAGACAATCCCGTTTCCAATGAAATCCTCATAGCTATCCAAATATCCTCTTGCAGATTTTACAAAAAGAGTGTTTCAAAACTGCTCTATCAAAAGAAAGCTTCAACACTGTTAGTTGAGGGCGCACATCACAAATAAGATTCTGAGAATGCTTCTGTCTAGTTTTCAGGAGAAGATATTTCCTTTTTCACCATAGGCCTGAAAGCGCTCCAAATGTCCACATCCAGATACTATAAAAAGAGTGTTTCAAACCTGCTCTATGAAAGGGAATGTTCAACTCTGTGACTTGAATGCAAACATCACAAAGAAGATTCTGGGAATGCTGCTGTCTGCTTTTTATATGTAATCCCGTTTCCAACGAAATCCTCAAAGCTAGACTAATATCCACTTGCAGATTCCACAAAAAGAGTGTTTCAAAACTGCTCTATCAAAAGAAAGCTTCAACACTGTTAGTTGAGGGCGCACATCACAAATAAGTTTCTGAGAATGCTTCTGTCTAGTTTTCAGAGGAAGATATTTCCTTTTTCACCATAGGCCTGAAAGCGCTCCAAATGTCCACATCCAGATACTACAAAAAGAGTGTTTCAAACCTGCTCTATGAAAGGGACTGTTCAACACTGTGACTTCAATTGAAACATCCCAATGAAGCTTCTGAGAATGCTTCTGTCTAGAGTTTATATGAAGACAATCCCGTTTCCAACGAAATCCTCAAAGCTATCCAAATATCCTCTTGCAGATTTTACAAAAAAGTGTTTCAAAACTGCTCTATCAAAAGAAAGCTTCAACACTGTTAGTTGAGGGCGCACATCACAAATAAGATTCTGAGAATGCTTCTGTCCAGTTTTCAGGGGAAGATATTTCCTTTTTCACCATAGGCCTGAAAGCGCTCCAAATATCCACATCCAGATACTACAAAAAGAGTGTTTCAAACCTGCTCTATGAAAGGGAATGTTCAACTCTGTGACTTGAATGCAAACATCACAAAGAAGTTACTGGGAATGCTGCTGTCTGCTTTTTATATGTAATCCCGTTTCCAACGAAATCCTCAAAGCTTGACAAATATCCACTTGCAGATTCCACAAAAAGAGTGTTTCAAAACTGCTCTCTCAAAAGAAAGGTTCAACTCTGTTAGCTGAGTAGATACATCATGAAAAAGTTTCTGACATTGCTTCTATCTAGCTTTTATTGGAAGATAATTCCTTTTTCACCGTAGTCCTGAGAGCGCTCCAAATGTCCACTTCCAGATACTACAAAAAGAGTGTTTCAAACCTGCTCTATGAAAGGGACTGTTCAACACTGTGACTTCAATTGAAACATCCCAATGAAGCTTCTCAGAATGCTTCTGTCTAGAGTTTATATGAAGACAATCCCGTTTCCAAAGAAATCCTCAAAGCTATCCAAATATCCTCTTGCAGATTTTACAAAAAGAGTGTTTCAAAACTGCTGTATCAAAAGAAAGCTTCAACACTGTTAGTTGAGGGCGCACATCACAAATAAGATTCTGAGAATGCTTCTGTCTAGTTTTCAGGGGAAGATATTTCCTTTTTCACCATAGGCCTGAACGTGCTCCAAATGTCCACATCCAGATACTACAAAAAGAGTGTTTCAAACCTGCTCTATGAAAGGGAATGTTCAACTCTGTGACTTGAATGCAAACATCACAAAGAAGTTTCTGGGAATGCTGCTGTCTGCTTTTTATATGTAATCCCGTTTCCAACGAAATCCTCAAAGCTAGACAAATATCCACTTGCAGATTCCACAAAAAGAGTGTTTCAAAACTGCTCTCTCAAAAGAAAGGTTCAACTCTGTTAGCTGAGTAGATAAATCATGAAAAAGTTTCTGACATTGCTTCTATCTAGCTTTTATTGGAAGATATTTCCTTTTTCACCGTAGTCCTGAGAGCGCTCCAAATGTCCACTTCCAGATACTACAAAAAGAGTGTTTCAAACCTGCTCTATGAAAGGGACTGTTCAACACTGTGACTTCAATTGAAACATCCCAATGAAGCTTCTGAGAATGCTTCTGTCTAGAGTTTATATGAAGACAATCCCGTTTCCAACGAAATCCTCAAAGCTATCCAAATATCCTCTTGCAGATTTTACAAAAAGAGTGTTTCAAAACTGCTCTATCAAAAGAAAGCTTCAACACTGTTAGTTGAGGGCGCACATCACAAATAAGATTCTGAGAATGCTTCTGTCTAGTTTTCAGGGGAAGATATTTCCTTTTTCACCATAGGCCTGAAAGCGCTCCAAATGTCCACATCCAGATACTACAAAAAGAGTGTTTCAAACCTGCTCTATGAAAGGGAATGTTCAACTCTGTGACTTGAATGCAAACATCACAAAGAAGTTACTGGGAATGCTGCTGTCTGCTTTTTATATGTAATCCCGTTTCCAACGAAATCCTCAAATCTAGACAAATATCCACTTGCAGATCCCACAAAAAAAGTGTTTCAAAACTGCTCTATCAAAAGAAAGCTTCAACACTGTTAGTTGAGGGCGCACATCACAAATAAGTTTCTGAGAATGCTTCTATCTAGTTTTCAGGGGAAGATATTTCCTTTTTCACCATAGGCCTGAAAGCGCTCCAAATGTCCACATCCAGATACTACAAAAAGAGTGTTTCAAACCTGCTCTATGAAAGGGACTGTTCAACACTGTGACTTCAATTGAAACATCCCAATGAAGCTTCTGAGAATGCTTCTGTCTAGAGTTTATATGAAGACAATCCCGTTTCCAACGAAATCCTCAAAGCTATCCAAATATCCTCTTGCAGATTTTACAAAAAGAGTGTTTCAAAACTGCTCTATCAAAAGAAAGCTTCAACACTGTTAGTTGAGGGCGCACATCACAAATAAGATTCTGAGAATGCTTCTGTCTAGTTTTCAGGGGAAGATATTTCCTTTTTCACCATAGGCCTGAAAGCGCTCCAAATGTCCACATCCAGATACTACAAAAAGAGTGTTTCAAACCTGCTCTATGAAAGGGAATGTTCAATTCTGTGACTTTAATGCAAACATCACAAAGAAGTTACTGGGAATGCTGCTGTCTGCTTTTTATATGTAATCCCGTTTCCAACGAAATCCTCAAAGCTAGACAAATATCCACTTGCAGATTCCACAAAAAGAGTGCTTCAAAACTGCTCCCTCAAAAGAAAGGTTCAACTCTGTTAGCTGAGTAGATACATCATGAAAAAGTTTCTGACATTGCTTCTATGTAGCTTTTATTGGAAGATATTTCCTTTTTCACCGTAGTCCTGAGAGCGCTCCAAATGTCCACTTCCAGATACTACAAAAAGAGTGTTTCAAACCTGCTCTATGAAAGGGACTTTTCAACACTGTGACTTCAATTGAAACATCCCAATGAAGCTTCTGAGAATGCTTCTGTCTAGAGTTTATATGAAGACAATCCCGTTTCCAACGAAATCCTCAAAGCTATCCAAATATCCTCTTGCAGATTTTACAAAAAGAGTGTTTCAAAACTGCTCTAACAAAAGAAAGCTTCAACACTGTTAGTTGAGGGCGCACATCACAAATAAGATTCTGAGAATGCTTCTGTCTAGTTTTCAGGGGAAGATATTTCCTTTTTCACCATAGGCCTGAAAGCGCTCCAAATGTCCACATCCAGATACTACAAAAAGAGTGTTTCAAACCTGCTCTATGAAAGGGAATGTTCAACTCTGTGACTTGAATGCAAACATCACAAAGAAGTTTCTGGGAATGCTGCTGTCTGCTTTTTATATGTAATCCCGTTTCCAACGAAATCCTCAAAGCTAGACAAATATCCACTTGCAGATTCCACAAAAAGAGTGTTTCAAAACTGCTCTCTCAAAAGAAAGGTTCAACTCTGTTAGCTGAGTAGATACATCATGAAAAAGTTTCTGACATTGCTTCTATCTAGCTTTTATTGGAAGATATTTCCTTTTTCACCGTAGTCCTGAGAGCGCTCCAAATGTCCACTTCCAGATACTACAAAAAGAGTGTTTCAAACCTGCTCTATGAAAGGGACTGTTCAACACTGTGACTTCAATTGAAACATCCCAATGAAGCTTCTGAGAATGCTTCTGTCTAGAGTTTATATGAAGACAATCCCGTTTCCAACGAAATCCTCAAAGCTATCCAAATATCCTCTTGCAGATATTACAAAAAGAGTGTTTCAAAACTGCTCTATCAAAAGAAAGCTTCAACACTGTTAGTTGAGGGCGCACATCACAAATAAGATTCTGAGAATTCTTCTGTCTAGTTTTCAGGGGAAGATATTTCCTTTTTCACCATAGGCCTGAACGTGCTCCAAATGTCCACATCCAGATACTACAAAAAGAGTGTTTCAAACCTGCTCTATGAAAGGGAATGTTCAACTCTGTGACTTGAATGCAAACATCACAAAGAAGTTTCTGGGAATGCTGCTGTCTGCTTTTTATATGTAATCCCGTTTCCAACGAAATCCTCAAAGCTAGACAAATATCCACTTGCAGATTCCACAAAAAGAGTGTTTCAAAACTGCTCTCTCAAAGGAAAGGTTCAACTCTGTTAGCTGAGTAGATACATCATGAAAAAGTTTCTGACATTGCTTCTATCTAGCTTTTATTGGAAGATATTTCCTTTATCACCGTATTCCAAAGATCTCTCCAAATGTCCACTTCCAGCTACTACAAAAAGAGTGTTTCAAACCTGCTCTATGAAAGGGACTGTTCAACACTGTGACTTCAATTGAAACATCCCAATGAAGCTTCTGAGAATACTTCTGTCTAGAGTTTATATGAAGACAATCCCGTTTCCAACGAAATCCTCAAAGCAATCCAAATATCCTCTTGCAGATTTTACAAAAAGAGTGTTTCAAAACTGCTCTAGCAAAAGAAAGCTTCAACACTGTTAGTTGAGGGCGCACATCACAAATAAGTTTCTGAGAATGCTCCTGTCTAGTTTTCAGGGGAAGATATTTCCTTTTTCACCATAGGCCAGAATGCGCTCCAATTGTCCACATCTAGATTCTTCAAAAAGAGTGTTTCAAACCTGCTCTATGAAAGGGAATGTTCAACTCTGTGACTTGAATGCAAACATCACAAAGAAGTTTCTGGGAATGCTGCTGTCTGCCTTTTATATGTAATCCCGTTTCCAACTAAATCCTCAAAGCTAGACAAATATCCACTTGCAGATTCCACAAAAAGAGTGTTTCAAAACTCCTCTCTGAAAAGAAAGGTTCAACTCTGTTAGCTGAGTAGATACGTCATGAAAAAGTTTCTGACATTGCTTCTATCTAGCTTTTATTGGAAGATATTTCCTTTATCACCGTATTCCTGAGATCTCTCCAAATGTCCACTTCCAGATACTGCAAAAAGAGTGTTTCAAACCTGCTCTATGAAAGGGACTGTTCAACACTGTGACTTCAATTGAAACATCCCAATGAGGCTTCTGAGAATGCTTCTGTCTAGAGTTTATATGAAGACAATCCCGTTTCCAACGAAATCCTCAAAGCTATCCAAATATCCTCTTGCAGATTTTACAAAAAGAGTGTTTCAAAACTGCTCTATCAAAAGAAAGCTTCAACACTCTTAGTTGAGGGCGCACATCACAAATAAGATTCTGAGTATGCTTCTGTCTAGTTTTCAGGGGAAGATATTTCCTTTTTCACCATAGGCCTGAAAGCGCTCCAAATGTCCACATCCAGATACTACAAAAAGAGTGTTTCAAACCTGCTCTATGAAAGGGAATGTTCAACTCTGTGACTTGAATGCAAACATCACAAAGAAGTTTTTGGGAATGCTGCTGTCTGCTTTTTATATGTAATCCCGTTTCCAACGAAATCCTCAAAGCTAGACAAACATCCACTTGCAGATTCCACAAAAAGAGTGTTTCAAAACTGCTCTCTCAAAAAAAAGGTTCAACACTGTTAGCTGCGTAGATACATCATGAAAAAGTTTCTGACATTGCTTCTATCTAGCTTTTATTGGAAGATAATTCCTTTATCACCGTATTCCTGAGAACTCTCCAAACGTCCACTTCCAGATACTACAAAAAGATTGTTTCAAACCTGCTCTATGAAAGGGACTGTTCAACACTGTGACTTCTATTGAAACATCCCATTGAAGCTTCTGAGAATGCTTTTGTCTAGATTTTGTATGAAGACAATCCCGTTTCCAACGAAATCCTCAAAGCTATCCAAATATCCTCTTGCAGATTTTACAAAAAGAGGATTTCAAAACTGCTCTATCAAAAGAAAGGTTCAACACTGTTAGTTGAGGGCGCACATCACAAATAAGTTTCTGAGAATGCTTCTGTCTAGTTTTCAGGGGAAGATATTTCCTTTTTCACCATAGGCCTGAAAGCGCTCCAAATGTCCACATCCAGATACTACAAAAAGAGTGTTTCAAACCTGCTCTATGAAAGGGAAAGTTCAATTCTGTGACTTGAATGCAAACATCACAAAGAAGATTCTGGGAATGCTGCTGTCTGCTTTGTATATGTAATCCCGTTTCCAACGAAATCCTCAAAGCTAGACAAATATCCACTTGCAGATTCCACAAAAAGAGTGTTTCAAAACTGCTCTATCAAAAGAAAGCTTCAACACTGTTAGTTGAGGGCGCACATCACAAATAAGTTTCTGAGAATGCTTCTGTCTAGTTTTCAGGGGAAGATATTTCCTTTTTCACCATAGGCCTGAAAGCGCTCCAAATGTCCACATCCAGATACTACAAAAAGAGTGTTTCAAACCTGCTCTATGAAAGGGAATGTTCAACTCTGTGACTTGAATGCAAACATCACAAAGAAGTTTCTGGGAATGCTGCTGTCTGCTTTTTATATGTAATCCCGTTTCCAACCAAATCCTCAAACTAGACAAATATCCACTTGCAGATTCCACCAAAAGATTGTTTCAAAACTGCTCTCTCAAAGGAAAGGTTCAACTCTGTTAGCTGAGTAGATACATCATGAAAAAGTTTCTGACATTGCTTCTATCTAGCTTTTATTGGAAGATATTTCCTTTATCACTGTATTCCTGAGATCTCTCCAAATGTCCACTTCCAGCTACTACAAAAAGAGTGTTTCAAACTTGCTCTATGAAAGGGACTTTTCAACACTGTGACTTCAATTGAAACATCCCAATGAAGCTTCTGAGAATGCTTCTGTCTAGAGTTTATATGAAGACAATCCCGTTTCCAACGAAATCCTCAAAGCTATACAAATATCCTCTTGCAGATTTTACAAAAAGAGTGTTTCAAAACTGCTCTATCAAAAGAAAGCTTCAACACTGTTAGTTGAGGGCGCACATCACAAATAAGATTCTGCGAATGCTTCTGTCTAGTTTTCAGGGGAACATATTTCCTTTTTCACCATAGGCCTGAAAGCGCTCCAAATGTCCACATCCAGATACTACAAAAAGAATGTTTCAAACCTGCTCTATGAAAGGGAATGTTCAACTCTGTGACTTGAATGCAAACATCACAAAGAAGTTACTGGGAATGCTGCTGTCTGCTTTGTATATGTAATCCCGTTTCCAACGAAATCCTCAAAGCTAGACAAATATCCACTTGCAGATTCCACAAAAAGAGTGTTTCAAAACTGCTCTCTCAAAAGAAAGGTTCAACTCTGTTAGCTGAGTAGATACATCATGAAAAAGTTTCTGACATTGCTTCTATGTAGCTTTTATTGGAAGATATTTCCTTTTTCACCGTAGTCCTGAGAACGCTCCAAATGTCCACTTCCAGATACTACAAAAAGAGTGTTTCAAACCTGCTCTATGAAAGGGACTGTTCAACACTGTGACTTCAATTGAAACATCCCAATGAAGCTTCTGAGAATGCTTCTGTCTAGAGTTTATATGAAGACAATCCCGTTTCCAACGAAATCCTCAAAGCTATCCAAATATCCTCTTGCAGATTTTACAAAAAGAGTGTTTCAAAACTGCTCTATCAAAAGAAAGCTTCAACACTGTTAGTTGAGGGCGCACATCACAAATAAGTTTCTGAGAATGCTTCTGTCTAGTTTTCAGGGGAAGATATTTCCTTTTTCACCATAGGCCTGAAAGCGCTCCAAATGTCCACATCCAGATACTACAAAAAGAGTGTTTCAAACCTGCTCTATGAAAGGGAATGTTCAACTCTGTGACTTGAATGCAAACATCACAAAGAAGTTTCTGGGAATGCTGCTGTCTGCTTTTTATATGTAATCCCGTTTCCAACGAAATCCTCAAAGCTAGACAAACATCCACTTGCAGATTCCACAAAAAGAGTGTTTTAAAACTGCTCTCTCAAAAAAAAGGTTCAACTCTGTTAGCTGCGTAGATACATCATGAAAAAGTTTCTGACATTGCTTCTATCTAGCTTTTATTGGAAGATAATTCCTTTATCACCGTATTCCTGAGAACTCTCCAAACGTCCACTTCCAGATACTACAAAAAGATTGTTTCAAACCTGCTCTATGAAAGGGACTGTTCAACACTGTGACTTCAATTGAAACATCCCATTGAAGCTTCTGAGAATGCTTTTGTCTAGATTTTGTATGAAGACAATCCCGTTTCCAACGAAATCCTCAAAGCTATCCAAATATCCTCTTGCAGATTTTACAAAAAGAGGATTTCAAAACTGCTCTATCAAAAGAAAGGTTCAACACTGTTAGTTGAGGGCGCACATCACAAATAAGTTTCTGAGAATGCTTCTGTCTAGTTTTCAGGGGAAGATATTTCCTTTTTCACCATAGGCCTGAAAGCGCTCCAAATGTCCACATCCAGATACTACAAAAAGAGTGTTTCAAACCTGCTCTATGAAAGGGAATGTTCAACTCTGTGACTTGAATGCAAACATCACAAAGAAGATTCAGGGAATGCTGCTGTCTGCTTTGTATATGTAATCCCGTTTCCAACGAAATCCTCAAAGCTAGACAAATATCCACTTGCAGATTCCACAAAAAGAGTGTTTCAAAACTGCTCTATCAAAAGAAAGCTTCAACACTGTTAGTTGAGGGCGCACATCACAAATAAGTTTCTGAGAATGCTTCTGTCTAGTTTTCAGGGGAAGATATTTCCTTTTTCACCATAGGCCTGAAAGCGCTCCAAATGTCCACATCCAGATACTACAAAAAGAGTGTTTCAAACCTGCTCTATGAAAGGGAATGTTCAACTCTGTGACTTGAATGCAAACATCACAAAGAAGTTTCTGGGAATGCTGCTGTCTGCTTTTTATATGTAATCCCGTTTCCAACCAAATCCTCAAAGCTAGACAAATATCCACTTGCAGATTCCACCAAAAGACTGTTTCAAAACTGCTCTCTCAAAGGAAAGGTTCAACTCTGTTAGCTGAGTAGATACATCATGAAAAAGTTTCTGACATTGCTTCTATCTAGCTTTTATTGGAAGATATTTCATTTATCACTGTATTCCTGAGATCTCTCCAAATGTCCACTTCCAGCTACTACAAAAAGAGTGTTTCAAACCTGCTCTATGAAAGGGACTTTTCAACACTGTGACTTCAATTGAAACATCCCAATGAAGCTTCTGAGAATGCTTCTGTCTAGAGTTTATATGAAGACAATCCCGTTTCCAACGAAATCCTCAAAGCTATCCAAATATCCTCTTGCAGATTTTACAAAAAGAGTGTTTCAAAACTGCTCTATCAAAAGAAAGCTTCAACACTGTTAGTTGAGGGCGCACATCACAAATAAGATTCTGCGAATGCTTCTGTCTAGTTTTCAGGGGAACATATTTCCTTTTTCACCATAGGCCTGAAAGCGCTCCAAATGTCCACATCCAGATACTACAAAAAGAGTGTTTCAAACCTGCTCTATGAAAGGGAATGTTCAACTCTGTGACTTGAATGCAAACATCACAAAGAAGTTACTGGGAATGCTGCTGTCTGCTTTGTATATGTAATCCCGTTTCCAACGAAATCCTCAAAGCTAGACAAATATCCACTTGCAGATTCTACAAAAAGAGTGTTTCAAAACTGCTCTCTCAAAAGAAAGGTTCAACTCTGTTAGCTGAGTAGATACATCATGAAAAAGTTTCTGACATTGCTTCTATGTAGCTTTTATTGGAAGATATTTCCTTTTTCACCGTAGTCCTGAGAACGCTCCAAATGTCCACTTCCAGATACTACAAAAAGAGTGTTTCAAACCTGCTCTATGAAAGGGACTGTTCAACACTGTGACTTCAATTGAAACATCCCAATGAAGCTTCTGAGAATGCTTCTGTCTAGATTTTATATGAAGACAATCCCGTTTCCAACGAAATCCTCAAAGCTATCCAAATATCCTCTTGCAGATTTTACAAAAAGGGTGTTTCAAAACTGCTCTATCAAAAGAAAGCTTCAACACTGTTAGTTGAGGGCGCACATCACAAATAAGTTTCTGAGAATGCTTCTGTCTAGTTTTCAGGGGAAGATATTTCCTTTTTCACCATAGGCCTGAAAGAGCTCCAAATGTCCACATCCAGATACTACAAAAAGAGTGTTTCAAACCTGCTCTATGAAAGGGAATGTTCAACTCTGTGACTTGAATGCAAACATCACAAAGAAGTTTCTGGGAATGCTGCTGTCTGCTTTTTATATGTAATCCCGTTTCCAACGAAATCCTCAAAGCTAGACAAACATCCACTTGCAGATTCCACAAAAAGAGTGTTTCAAAACTGCTCTCTCAAAAAAAAGGTTCAACTCTGTTAGCTGAGTAGATACATCATGAAAAAGTTTCTGACATTGCTTCTATCTAGCTTTTATTGGAAGATATTTCCTTTATCACTCTATTCCTGAGATCTCTCCAAATGTCCACTTCCAGCTACTACAAAAAGAGTGTTTCAAACCTGCTCTATGAAAGGGACTTTTCAACACTGTGACTTCAATTGAAACATCCCAATGAAGCTTCTGAGAATGCTTCTGTCTAGAGTTTATATGAAGACAATCCCGTTTCCAACGAAATCCTCAAAGCTATCCAAATATCCTCTTGCAGATTTTACAAAAAGAGTGTTTCAAAACTGCTCTATCAAAAGAAAGCTTCAACACTGTTAGTTGAGGGCGCACATCACAAATAAGATTCTGCGAATGCTTCTGTCTAGTTTTCAGGGGAACATATTTCCTTTTTCACCATAGGCCTGAAAGCGCTCCAAATGTCCACATCCAGATACTACAAAAAGAGTGTTTCAAACCTGCTCTATGAAAGGGAATGCTCAACTCTGTGACTTGAATGCAAACACCACAAAGAAGTTACTGGGAATGCTGCTGTCTGCTTTGTATATGTAATCCCGTTTCCAACGAAATCCTCAAAGCTAGACAAATATCCACTTGCAGATTCCACAAAAAGAGTGTTTCAAAACTGCTCTCTCAAAAGAAAGGTTCAACTCTGTTAGCTGAGTAGATACATCATGAAAAAGTTTCTGACATTGCTTCTATGTAGCTTTTATTGGAAGATATTTCCTTTTTCACCGTAGTCCTGAGAGCGCTCCAAATGTCCACTTCCAGATACTACAAAAAGAGTGTTTCAAACCTGCTCTATGAAAGGGACTTTTCAACACTGTGACTTCAATTGAAACATCCCAATGAAGCTTCTGAGAATGCTTCTGTCTAGAGTTTATATGAAGACAATCCCGTTTCCAACGAAATCCTCAAAGCTATCCAAATATCCTCTTGCAGATTTTACAAAAAGAGTGTTTCAAAACTGCTCTATCAAAAGAAAGCTTCAACACTGTTAGTTGAGGGCGCACATCACAAATAAGATTCTGAGAATGCTTCTGTCTAGTTTTCAGGGGAACATATTTCCTTTTTCACCATAGGCCTGAAAGCGCTCCAAATGTCCACATCCAGATACTACAAAAAGAGTGTTTCAAACCTGCTCTATGAAAGGGAATGTTCAACTCTGTGACTTGAATGCAAACATCACAAAGAAGTTACTGGGAATGCTGCTGTCTGCTTTGTATATGTAATCCCGTTTCCAACGAAATCCTCAAAGCTAGACAAATATCCACTTGCAGATTCCACAAAAAGAGTGTTTCAAAACTGCTCTCTCAAAAGAAAGGTTCAACTCTGTTAGCTGAGTAGATACATCATGAAAAAGTTTCTGACATTGCTTCTATGTAGCTTTTATTGGAAGATATTTCCTTTTTCACTGTAGTCCTGAGAACGCTCCAAATGTCCACTTCCAGATACTACAAAAAGAGTGTTTCAAACCTGCTCTATGAAAGGGACTGTTCAACACTGTGACTTCAATTGAAACATCCCAATGAAGCTTCTGAGAATGCTTCTGTCTAGATTTTATATGAAGACAATCCCGTTTCCAACGAAATCCTCAAAGCTATCCAAATATCCTCTTGCAGATTTTACAAAAAGGGTGTTTCAAAACTGCTCTATCAAAAGAAAGCTTCAACACTGTTAGTTGAGGGCGCACATCACAAATAAGTTTCTGAGAATGCTTCTGTCTAGTTTTCAGGGGAAGATATTTCCTTTTTCACCATAGGCCTGAAAGCGCTCCAAATGTCCACATCCAGATACTACAAAAAGAGTGTTTCAAACCTGCTCTATGAAAGGGAATTTTCAACTCTGTGACTTGAATGCAAACATCACAAAGAAGTTTCTGGGAATGCTGCTGTCTGCTTTTTATATGTAATCCCGTTTCCAACGAAATCCTCAAAGCTAGACAAACATCCACTTGCAGATTCCACAAAAAGAGTGTTTCAAAACTGCTCTCTCAAAAAAAAGGTTCAACTCTATTAGCTGCGTAGATACATCATGAAAAAGTTTCTGACATTGCTTCTATCTAGCTTTTATTGGAAGATATTTCCTTTATCACTCTATTCCTGAGATCTCTCCAAATGTCCACTTCCAGCTACTACAAAAAGAGTGTTTCAAACCTGCTCTATGAAAGGGACTTTTCAACACTGTGACTTCAATTGAAACATCCCAATGAAGCTTCTGAGAATGCTTCTGTCTAGAGTTTATATGAAGACAATCCCGTTTCCAACGAAATCCTCAAAGCTATCCAAATATCCTCTTGCAGATTTTACAAAAAGAGTGTTTCAAAACTGCTCTATCAAAAGAAAGCTTCAACACTGTTAGTTGAGGGCGCACATCACAAATAAGATTCTGCGAATGCTTCTGTCTAGTTTTCAGGGGAACATATTTCCTTTTTCACCATAGGCCTGAAAGCGCTCCAAATGTCCACATCCAGATACTACAAAAAGAGTGTTTCAAACCTGCTCTATGAAAGGGAATGCTCAACTCTGTGACTTGAATGCAAACATCACAAAGAAGTTACTGGGAATGCTGCTGTCTGCTTTGTATATGTAATCCCGTTTCCAACGAAATCCTCAAAGCTAGACAAATATCCACTTGCAGATTCCACAAAAAGAGTGTTTCAAAACTGCTCTCTCAAAAGAAAGGTTCAACTCTGTTAGCTGAGTAGATACATCATGAAAAAGTTTCTGACATTGCTTCTATGTAGCTTTTATTGGAAGATATTTCCTTTTTCACCGTAGTCCTGAGAGCGCTCCAAATGTCCACTTCCAGATACTACAAAAAGAGTGTTTCAAACCTGCTCTATGAAAGGGACTGTTCAACACTGTGACTTCAATTGAAACATCCCAATGAAGCTTCTGAGAATGCTTCTGTCTAGAGTTTATATGAAGACAATCCCGTTTCCAACGAAATCCTCAAAGCTATCCAAATATCCTCTTGCAGATTTTACAAAAAGAGTGTTTCAAAACTGCTCTATCAAAAGAAAGCTTCAACACTGTTAGTTGAGGGCGCACATCACAAATAAGTTTCTGAGAATGCTTCTGTCTAGTTTTCAGGGGAAGATATTTCCTTTTTCACCATAGGCCTGAAAGCGCTCCAAATGTCCACATCCAGATACTACAAAAAGAGTGTTTCAATCCTGCTCTATGAAAGGGAATGTTCAACTCTGTGACTTGAATGCAAACATCACAAAGAAGTTTCTGGGAATGCTGCTGTCTGCTTTTTATATGTAATCCCGTTTCCAACGAAATCCTCAAAGCTAGACAAACATCCACTTGCAGATTCCACAAAAAGAGTGTTTCAAAACTGCTCTCTCAAAAAAAAGGTTCAACTCTGTTAGCTGCGTAGATACATCATGAAAAAGTTTCTGACATTGCTTCTATCTAGCTTTTATTGGAAGATAATTCCTTTATCACCGTATTCCTGAGAACTCTCCAAACGTCCACTTCCAGATACTACAAAAAGATTGTTTCAAACCTGCTCTATGAAAGGGACTGTTCAACTCTGTGACTTCAATTGAAACATCCCATTGAAGCTTCTGAGAATGCTTCTGTCTAGATTTTGTATGAAGACAATCCCGTTTCCAACGAAATCCTCAAAGCTATCCAAATATCCTTTTGCAGATTTTACAAAAAGAGGATTTCAAAACTGCTCTATCAAAAGAAAGGTTCAACACTGTTAGTTGAGGGCGCACATCACAAATAAGTTTCTGAGAATGCTTCTGTCTAGTTTTCAGGGGAAGATATTTCCTTTTTCACCATAGGCCTGAAAGCGCTCCAAATGTCCACATCCAGATACTACAAAAAGAGTGTTTCAAACCTGCTCTATGAAAGGGAATGTTCAACTCTGTGACTTGAATGCAAACATCACAAAGAAGATTCTGGGAATGCTGCTGTCTGCTTTGTATATATAATCCCGTTTCCAACGAAATCCTCAAAGCTAGACAAATATCCACTTGCAGATTCCACAAAAAGACTGTTTCAAAACTGCTCTCTAAAAGGAATGGTTCAACTCTGTTAGCTGAGTAGATACATCATGAAAAAGTTTCTGACATTGCTTCTATCTAGCTTTTATTGGAAGATATTTCCTTTATCACTCTATTCCTGAGATCTCTCCAAATGTCCACTTCCAGCTACTACAAAAAGAGTGTTTCAAACCTGCTCTATGAAAGGGACTGTTCAACACTGTGACTTCAATTGAAACATCCCAATGAAGCTTCTGAGAATGCTTCTGTCTAGAGTTTATATGAAGACAATCCCGTTTCCAACGAAATCCTCAAAGCTATCCAAATATCCTCTTGCAGATTTTACAAAAAGAGTGTTTCAAAACTGCTCTATCAAAAGAAAGTTTCAACACTGTTAGTTGAGGGCGCACATCACAAATAAGATTCTGAGTATGCTTCTGTCTAGTTTTCAGGGGAAGATATTTCCTTTTTCACCATAGACCTGAAAGCGCTCCAAATGTCCACATCCAGATACTACAAAAAGAGTGTTTCAAACCTGCTCTATGAAAGGGAATGTTCAACTCTGTGACTTGAATGCAAACATCACAAAGAAGTTTCTGGGAATGCTGCTGTCTGCTTTTTATATGTAATCCCGTTTCCAACGAAATCCTCAAAGCTAGAAAAATATCCGCTTGCAGATTCCACAAAAAGAGTGTTTCAAAACTGCTCTCTCAAAAGAAAGGTTCAACTCTGTTAGCTGAGTAGATACATCATGAAAAAGTTTCTGACATTGCTTCTATCTAGCTTTTATTGGAAGATATTTCCTTTATCACTCTATTCCTGAGATCTCTCCAAATGTCCACTTCCAGCTACTACAAAAAGAGTGTTTCAAACCTGCTCTATGAAAGGGACTTTTCAACACTGTGACTTCAATTGAAACATCCCAATGAAGCTTCTGAGAATGCTTCTGTCTAGAGTTTATATGAAGACAATCCCGTTTCCAACGAAATCCTCAAAGCTATCCAAATATCCTCTTGCAGATTTTACGAAAAGAGTGTTTCAAAACTGCTCTATCAAAAGAAAGCTTCAACACTGTTAGTTGAGGGCGCACATCACAAATAAGATTCTGCGAATGCTTCTGTCTAGTTTTCAGGGGAACATATTTCCTTTTTCACCATAGGCCTGAAAGCGCTCCAAATGTCCACATCCAGATACTACAAAAAGAGTGTTTCAAACCTGCTCTATGAAAGGGAATGCTCAACTCTGTGACTTGAATGCAAACATCACAAAGAAGTTACTGGGAATGCTGCTGTCTGCTTTGTATATGTAATCCCGTTTCCAACGAAATCCTCAAAGCTAGACAAATATCCACTTGCAGATTCCACAAAAAGAGTGTTTCAAAACTGCTCTCTCAAAAGAAAGGTTCAACTCTGTTAGCTGAGTAGATACATCATGAAAAAGTTTCTGACATTGCTTCTATGTAGCTTTTATTGGAAGATATTTCCTTTTTCACCGTAGTCCTGAGAGCGCTCCAAATGTCCACTTCCAGATACTACAAAAAGAGTGTTTCAAACCTGCTCTATGAAAGGGACTTTTCAACACTGTGACTTCAATTGAAACATCCCAATGAAGCTTCTGAGAATGCTTCTGTCTAGAGTTTATATGAAGACAATCCCGTTTCCAACGAAATCCTCAAAGCTATCCAAATATCCTCTTGCAGATTTTACAAAAAGAGTGTTTCAAAACTGCTCTATCAAAAGAAAGCTTCAACACTGTTAGTTGAGGGCGCACATCACAAATAAGATTCTGAGAATGCTTCTGTCTAGTTTTCAGGGGAACATATTTCCTTTTTCACCATAGGCCTGAAAGCGCTCCAAATGTCCACATCCAGATACTACAAAAAGAGTGTTTCAAACCTGCTCTATGAAAGGGACTGTTCAACTCTGTGACTTGAATGCAAACATCACAAAGAAGTTACTGGGAATGCTGCTGTCTGCTTTGTATATGTAATCCCGTTTCCAACGAAATCCTCAAAGCTAGACAAATATCCACTTGCAGATTCCACAAAAAGAGTGTTTCAAAACTGCTCTCTCAAAAGAAAGGTTCAACTCTGTTAGCTGAGTAGATACATCATGAAAAAGTTTCTGACATTGCTTCTATGTAGCTTTTATTGGAAGATATTTCCTTTTTCACTGTAGTCCTGAGAACGCTCCAAATGTCCACTTCCAGATACTACAAAAAGAGTGTTTCAAACCTGCTCTATGAAAGGGACTGTTCAACACTGTGACTTCAATTGAAACATCCCAATGAAGCTTCTGAGAATGCTTCTGTCTAGATTTTATATGAAGACAATCCCGTTTCCAACGAAATCCTCAAAGCTATCCAAATATCCTCTTGCAGATTTTACAAAAAGGGTGTTTCAAAACTGCTCTATCAAAAGAAAGCTTCAACACTGTTAGTTGAGGGCGCACATCACAAATAAGTTTCTGAGAATGCTTCTGTCTAGTTTTCAGGGGAAGATATTTCCTTTTTCACCATAGGCCTGAAAGCGCTCCAAATGTCCACATCCAGATACTACAAAAAGAGTGTTTCAAACCTGCTCTATGAAAGGGAATGTTCAACTCTGTGACTTGAATGCAAACATCACAAAGAAGTTTCTGGGAATGCTGCTGTCTGCTTTTTATATGTAATCCCGTTTCCAACGAAATCCTCAAAGCTAGACAAACATCCACTTGCAGATTCCACAAAAAGAGTGTTTCAAAACTGCTCTCTCAAAAAAAAGGTTCAACTCTGTTAGCTGCGTAGATACATCATGAAAAAGTTTCTGACATTGCTTCTATCTAGCTTTTATTGGAAGATAATTCCTTTATCACCGTATTCCTGAGAACTCTCCAAACGTCCACTTCCAGATACTACAAAAAGATTGTTTCAAACCTGCTCTATGAAAGGGACTGTTCAACACTGTGACTTCAATTGAAACATCCCATTGAAGCTTCTGAGAATGCTTCTGTCTAGAGTTTATATGAAGACAATCCCGTTTCCAACGAAATCCTCAAAGCTATCCAAATATCCTCTTGCAGATTTTACAAAAAGAGGATTTCAAAACTGCTCTATCAAAAGAAAGGTTCAACACTGTTAGTTGAGGGCGCACATCACAAAAAAGTTTCTGAGAATGCTTCTGTCTAGTTTTCAGGGGAAGATATTTCCTTTTTCACCATAGGCCTGAAAGCGCTCCAAATGTCCACATCCAGATACTACAAAAAGAGTGTTTCAAACCTGCTCTATGAAAGGGAATGTTCAACTCTGTGACTTGAATGCAAACATCACAAAGAAGATTCTGGGAATGCTGCTGTCTGCTTTGTATATGTAATCCCGTTTCCAACGAAATCCTCAAAGCTAGACAAATATCCACTTGCAGATTCCACAAAAAGAGTGTTTCAAAACTGCTCTATCAAAAGAAAGCTTCAACACTGTTAGTTGAGGGCGCACATCACAAATAAGATTCTGAGAATGCTTCTGTCTAGTTTTCAGGGGAAGATATTTCCTTTTTCACCGTAGGCCTGAAAGCGCTCCAAATGTCCACAACCAGATACTACAAAAAGAGTGTTTCAAACCTGCTCTATGAAAGGGAATGTTCAACTCTGTGACTTGAATGCAAACATCACAAAGAAGTTTCTGGGAATGCTGCTGTCTGCTTTTTATATGTAATCCCGTTTCCAACGAAATCCTCAAAGCTAGACAAATATCCACTTGCAGATTCCACAAAAAGACTGTTTCAAAACTGCTCACTCAAAGGAAAGGTTCAACTCTGTTAGCTGAGTAGATACATCATGAAAAAGTTTCTGACATTGCTTCTATCTAGCTTTTATTGGAAGATATTTCCTTTATCACTCTATTCCTGAGATCTCTCCAAATGTCCACTTCCAGCTACTATAAAAAGAGTGTTTCAAACCTGCTCTATGAAAGGGACTTTTCAACACTGTGACTTCAATTGAAACATCCCAATGAAGCTTCTGAGAATGCTTCTGTCTAGAGTTTATATGAAGACAATCCCGTTTCCAACGAAATCCTCAAAGCTATCCAAATATCCTCTTGCAGATTTTACAAAAAGAGTGTTTCAAAACTGCTCTATCAAAAGAAAGCTTCAACACTGTTAGTTGAGGGCGCACATCACAAATAAGATTCTGCGAATGCTTCTGTCTAGTTTTCAGGGGAACATATTTCCTTTTTCACCATAGGCCTGAAAGCGCTCCAAATGTCCACATCCAGATACTACAAAAAGAGTGTTTCAAACCTGCTCTATGAAAGGGAATGCTGAACTCTGTGACTTGAATGCAAACATCACAAAGAAGTTACTGGGAATGCTGCTGTCTGCTTTGTATATGTAATCCCGTTTCCAACGAAATCCTCAAAGCTAGACAAATATCCACTTGCAGATTCCACAAAAAGAGTGTTTCAAAACTGCTCTCTCAAAAGAAAGGTTCAACTCTGTTAGCTGAGTAGATACATCATGAAAAAGTTTCTGACATTGCTTCTATGTAGCTTTTATTGGAAGATATTTCCTTTTTCACTGTAGTCCTGAGAACGCTCCAAATGTCCACTTCCAGATACTACAAAAAGAGTGTTTCAAACCTGCTCTATGAAAGGGACTGTTCAACACTGTGACTTCAATTGAAACATCCCAATGAAGCTTCTGAGAATGCTTCTGTCTAGATTTTATATGAAGACAATCCCGTTTCCAACGAAATCCTCAAAGCTATCCAAATATCCTCTTGCAGATTTTACAAAAAGGGTGTTTCAAAACTGCTCTATCAAAAGAAAGCTTCAACACTGTTAGTTGAGGGCGCACATCACAAATAAGTTTCTGAGAATGCTTCTGTCTAGTTTTCAGGGGAAGATATTTCCTTTTTCACCATAGGCCTGAAAGCGCTCCAAATGTCCACATCCAGATACTACAAAAAGAGTGTTTCAAACCTGCTCTATGAAAGGGAATGTTCAACTCTGTGACTTGAATGCAAACATCACAAAGAAGTTTCTGGGAATGCTGCTGTCTGCTTTTTATATGTAATCCCGTTTCCAACGAAATCCTCAAAGCTAGACAAACATCCACTTGCAGATTCCACAAAAAGAGTGTTTCAAAACTGCTCTCTCAAAAAAAAGGTTCAACTCTGTTAGCTGCGTAGATACATCATGAAAAAGTTTCTGACATTGCTTCTATCTAGCTTTTATTGGAAGATAATTCCTTTATCACCGTATTCCTGAGAACTCTCCAAACGTCCACTTCCAGATACTACAAAAAGATTGTTTCAAACCTGCTCTATGAAAGGGACTGTTCAACACTGTGACTTCAATTGAAACATCCCATTGAAGCTTCTGAGAATGCTTCTGTCTAGAGTTTATATGAAGACAATCCCGTTTCCAACGAAATCCTCAAAGCTATCCAAATATCCTCTTGCAGATTTTACAAAAAGAGGATTTCAAAACTGCTCTATCAAAAGAAAGGTTCAACACTGTTAGTTGAGGGCGCACATCACAAAAAAGTTTCTGAGAATGCTTCTGTCTAGTTTTCAGGGGAAGATATTTCCTTTTTCACCATAGGCCTGAAAGCGCTCCAAATGTCCACATCCAGATACTACAAAAAGAGTGTTTCAAACCTGCTCTATGAAAGGGAATGTTCAACTCTGTGACTTGAATGCAAACATCACAAAGAAGATTCTGGGAATGCTGCTGTCTGCTTTGTATATGTAATCCCGTTTCCAACGAAATCCTCAAAGCTAGACAAATATCCACTTGCAGATTCCACAAAAAGAGTGTTTCAAAACTGCTCTATCAAAACAAAGCTTCAACACTGTTAGTTGAGGGCGCACATCACAAATAAGATTCTGAGAATGCTTCTGTCTAGTTTTCAGGGGAAGATATTTCCTTTTTCACCGTAGGCCTGAAAGCGCTCCAAATGTCCACAACCAGATACTACAAAAAGAGTGTTTCAAACCTGCTCTATGAAAGGGAATGTTCAACTCTGTGACTTGAATGCAAACATCACAAAGAAGTTTCTGGGAATGCTGCTGTCTGCTTTTTATATGTAATCCCGTTTCCAACGAAATCCTCAAAGCTAGACAAATATCCACTTGCAGATTCCACAAAAAGACTGTTTCAAAACTGCTCACTCAAAGGAAAGGTTCAACTCTGTTAGCTGAGTAGATACATCATGAAAAAGTTTCTGACATTGCTTCTATCTAGCTTTTATTGGAAGATATTTCCTTTATCACTCTATTCCTGAGATCTCTCCAAATGTCCACTTCCAGCTACTATAAAAAGAGTGTTTCAAACCTGCTCTATGAAAGGGACTTTTCAACACTGTGACTTCAATTGAAACATCCCAATGAAGCTTCTGAGAATGCTTCTGTCTAGAGTTTATATGAAGACAATCCCGTTTCCAACGAAATCCTCAAAGCTATCCAAATATCCTCTTGCAGATTTTACAAAAAGAGTGTTTCAAAACTGCTCTATCAAAAGAAAGCTTCAACACTGTTAGTTGAGGGCGCACATCACAAATAAGATTCTGCGAATGCTTCTGTCTAGTTTTCAGGGGAACATATTTCCTTTTTCACCATAGGCCTGAAAGCGCTCCAAATGTCCACATCCAGATACTACAAAAAGAGTGTTTCAAACCTGCTCTATGAAAGGGAATGCTGAACTCTGTGACTTGAATGCAAACATCACAAAGAAGTTACTGGGAATGCTGCTGTCTGCTTTGTATATGTAATCCCGTTTCCAACGAAATCCTCAAAGCTAGACAAATATCCACTTGCAGATTCCACAAAAAGAGTGTTTCAAAACTGCTCTCTCAAAAGAAAGGTTCAACTCTGTTAGCTGAGTAGATACATCATGAAAAAGTTTCTGACATTGCTTCTATGTAGCTTTTATTGGAAGATATTTCCTTTTTCACCGTAGTCCTGAGAGCGCTCCAAATGTCCACTTCCAGATACTACAAAAAGAGTGTTTCAAACCTGCTCTATGAAAGGGACTGTTCAACACTGTGACTTCAATTGAAACATCCCAATGAAGCTTCTGAGAATGCTTCTGTCTAGAGTTTATATGAAGACAATCCCGTTTCCAACGAAATCCTCAAAGCTATCCAAATATCCTCTTGCAGATTTTACAAAAAGAGTGTTTCAAAACTGCTCTATCAAAAGAAAGCTTCAACACTGTTAGTTGAGGGCGCACATCACAAATAAGTTTCTGAGAATGCTTCTGTCTAGTTTTCAGGGGAAGATATTTCCTTTTTCACCATAGGCCTGAAAGCGCTCCAAATGTCCACATCCAGATACTACAAAAAGAGTGTTTCAAACCTGCTCTATGAAAGGGAATGTTCAACTCTGTGACTTGAATGCAAACATCACAAAGAAGTTTCTGGGAATGCTGCTGTCTGCTTTTTATATGTAATCCCGTTTCCAACGAAATCCTCAAAGCTAGACAAACATCCACTTGCAGATTCCACAAAAAGAGTGTTTCAAAACTGCTCTCTCAAAAAAAAGGTTCAACTCTGTTAGCTGCGTAGATACATCATGAAAAAGTTTCTGACATTGCTTCTATCTAGCTTTTATTGGAAGATAATTCCTTTATCACCGTATTCCTGAGAACTCTCCAAACGTCCACTTCCAGATACTACAAAAAGATTGTTTCAAACCTGCTCTATGAAAGGGACTGTTCAACACTGTGACTTCAATTGAAACATCCCATTGAAGCTTCTGAGAATGCTTCTGTCTAGAGTTTATATGAAGACAATCCCGTTTCCAACGAAATCCTCAAAGCTATCCAAATATCCTCTTGCAGATTTTACAAAAAGAGGATTTCAAAACTGCTCTATCAAAAGAAAGGTTCAACACTGTTAGTTGAGGGCGCACATCACAAAAAAGTTTCTGAGAATGCTTCTGTCTAGTTTTCAGGGGAAGATATTTCCTTTTTCACCATAGGCCTGAAAGCGCTCCAAATGTCCACATCCAGATACTACAAAAAGAGTGTTTCAAACCTGCTCTATGAAAGGGAATGTTCAACTCTGTGACTTGAATGCAAACATCACAAAGAAGATTCTGGGAATGCTGCTGTCTGCTTTGTATATGTAATCCCGTTTCCAACGAAATCCTCAAAGCTAGACAAATATCCACTTGCAGATTCCACAAAAAGAGTGTTTCAAAACTGCTCTATCAAAAGAAAGCTTCAACACTGTTAGTTGAGGGCGCACATCACAAATAAGATTCTGAGAATGCTTCTGTCTAGTTTTCAGGGGAAGATATTTCCTTTTTCACCGTAGGCCTGAAAGCGCTCCAAATGTCCACAACCAGATACTACAAAAAGAGTGTTTCAAACCTGCTCTATGAAAGGGAATGTTCAACTCTGTGACTTGAATGCAAACATCACAAAGAAGTTTCTGGGAATGCTGCTGTCTGCTTTTTATATGTAATCCCGTTTCCAACGAAATCCTCAAAGCTAGACAAATATCCACTTGCAGATTCCACAAAAAGACTGTTTCAAAACTGCTCACTCAAAGGAAAGGTTCAACTCTGTTAGCTGAGTAGATACATCATGAAAAAGTTTCTGACATTGCTTCTATCTAGCTTTTATTGGAAGATATTTCCTTTATCACTCTATTCCTGAGATCTCTCCAAATGTCCACTTCCAGCTACTATAAAAAGAGTGTTTCAAACCTGCTCTATGAAAGGGACTTTTCAACACTGTGACTTCAATTGAAACATCCCAATGAAGCTTCTGAGAATGCTTCTGTCTAGAGTTTATATGAAGACAATCCCGTTTCCAACGAAATCCTCAAAGCTATCCAAATATCCTCTTGCAGATTTTACAAAAAGAGTGTTTCAAAACTGCTCTATCAAAAGAAAGCTTCAACACTGTTAGTTGAGGGCGCACATCACAAATAAGTTTCTGAGAATGCTTCTGTCTAGTTTTCAGGGGAAGATATTTCCTTTTTCACCATAGGCCTGAAAGCGCTCCAAATGTCCACATCCAGATACTACAAAAAGAGTGTTTCAATCCTGCTCTATGAAAGGGAATGTTCAACTCTGTGACTTGAATGCAAACATCACAAAGAAGTTTCTGGGAATGCTGCTGTCTGCTTTTTATATGTAATCCCGTTTCCAACGAAATCCTCAAAGCTAGACAAACATCCACTTGCAGATTCCACAAAAAGAGTGTTTCAAAACTGCTCTCTCAAAAAAAAGGTTCAACTCTGTTAGCTGCGTAGATACATCATGAAAAAGTTTCTGACATTGCTTCTATCTAGCTTTTATTGGAAGATAATTCCTTTATCACCGTATTCCTGAGAACTCTCCAAACGTCCACTTCCAGATACTACAAAAAGATTGTTTCAAACCTGCTCTATGAAAGGGACTGTTCAACTCTGTGACTTCAATTGAAACATCCCATTGAAGCTTCTGAGAATGCTTCTGTCTAGATTTTGTATGAAGACAATCCCGTTTACAACGAAATCCTCAAAGCTATCCAAATATCCTTTTGCAGATTTTACAAAAAGAGGATTTCAAAACTGCTCTATCAAAAGAAAGGTTCAACACTGTTAGTTGAGGGCGCACATCACAAATAAGTTTCTGAGAATGCTTCTGTCTAGTTTTCAGGGGAAGATATTTCCTTTTTCACCATAGGCCTGAAAGCGCTCCAAATGTCCACATCCAGATACTACAAAAAGAGTGTTTCAAACCTGCTCTATGAAAGGGAATGTTCAACTCTGTGACTTGAATGCAAACATCACAAAGAAGATTCTGGGAATGCTGCTGTCTGCTTTGTATATATAATCCCGTTTCCAACGAAATCCTCAAAGCTAGACAAATATCCACTTGCAGATTCCACAAAAAGACTGTTTCAAAACTGCTCTCTAAAAGGAATGGTTCAACTCTGTTAGCTGAGTAGATACATCATGAAAAAGTTTCTGACATTGCTTCTATCTAGCTTTTATTGGAAGATATTTCCTTTATCACTCTATTCCTGAGATCTCTCCAAATGTCCACTTCCAGCTACTACAAAAAGAGTGTTTCAAACCTGCTCTATGAAAGGGACTGTTCAACACTGTGACTTCAATTGAAACATCCCAATGAAGCTTCTGAGAATGCTTCTGTCTAGAGTTTATATGAAGACAATCCCGTTTCCAACGAAATCCTCAAAGCTATCCAAATATCCTCTTGCAGATTTTACAAAAAGAGTGTTTCAAAACTGCTCTATCAAAAGAAAGTTTCAACACTGTTAGTTGAGGGCGCACATCACAAATAAGATTCTGAGTATGCTTCTGTCTAGTTTTCAGGGGAAGATATTTCCTTTTTCACCATAGGCCTGAAAGCGCTCCAAATGTCCACATCCAGATACTACAAAAAGAGTGTTTCAAACCTGCTCTATGAAAGGGAATGTTCAACTCTGTGACTTGAATGCAAACATCACAAAGAAGTTTCTGGGAATGCTGCTGTCTGCTTTTTATATGTAATCCCGTTTCCAACGAAATCCTCAAAGCTAGAAAAATATCCGCTTGCAGATTCCACAAAAAGAGTGTTTCAAAACTGCTCTCTCAAAAGAAAGGTTCAACTCTGTTAGCTGAGTAGATACATCATGAAAAAGTTTCTGACATTGCTTCTATCTAGCTTTTATTGGAAGATATTTCCTTTATCACCGTATTCCTGAGATCTCTCCACATGTCCACTTCCAGATACTACAAAAAGAGTGTTTCAAACCTGCTCTATGAAAGGGACTGTTCAACACTGTGACTTCAATAGAAACATCCCAATGAAGCTTCTGAGAATGCTTCTGTCTAGAGTTTATATGAAGACAATACCGTTTCCAACGAAATCCTCAAAGCTATCCAAATATCCTCTTGCAGATTTTACAAAAAGAGTGTTTCAAAACTGCTCTATCAAAAGAAAGTTTCAACACTGTTAGTTGAGGGCGCACATCACAAATAAGATTCTGAGTATGCTTCTGTCTAGTTTTCAGGGGAAGATATTTCCTTTTTCACCATAGGCCTGAAAGCGCTCCAAATGTCCACATCCAGATACTACAAAAAGAGTGTTTCAAACCTGCTCTATGAAAGGGAATGTTCAACTCTGTGACTTGAATGCAAACATCACAAAGAAGTTTCTGGGAATGCTGCTGTCTGCTTTTTATAGGTAATCCCGTTTCCAACGAAATCCTCAAAGCTAGAAAAATATCCGCTTGCAGATTCCACAAAAAGAGTGTTTCAAAACTGCTCTCTCAAAAGAAAGGTTCAACTCTGTTAGCTGAGTAGATACATCATGAAAAAGTTTCTGACATTGCTTCTATCTAGCTTTTATTGGAAGATATTTCCTTTATCACCGTATTCCTGAGAACTCTCCAAACGTCCACTTCCAGATACTACAAAAAGAGTGTTTCAAACCTGCTCTATGAAAGGGACTGTTCAACACTGTTACTTCAATTGAAACATCCCAATAAAGCTTCTGAGAATGCTTCTGTCTAGATTTTGTATGAAGACAATCCCGTTTCCAACGAAATCCTCAAAGCTATCCAAATATCCTCTTGCAGATTTTACAAAAAGAGTGTTTCTAAACTGCTCTATCAAAAGAAAGCTTCAACACTGTTAGTTGAAGGCGCACATCACAAATAAGATTCTGAGAATGCTTCTGTCTAGTTTTCAGGGGAAGATATTTCCTTTTTCACCATAGGTCTGAAAGCGCTCCAAATGTCCACATCCAGATACTACAAAAAGAGTGTTTCAAACCTGCTCTATGAAAGGGAATGTTCAACTCTGTGACTTGAATGCAAACATCACAAAGAAATTTCTGGGAATGCTGCTGTCTGCTTTTTATATGTAATCCCGTTTCCAACGAAATCCTCAAAGCTAGACAAATATCCAGTTGCAGATTCCACAAAAAGAGTGTTTCAAAACTGCTCTCTCAAAAGAAAGTTTCAACTCTGTTAGCTGAGTAGATACATCATGAAAAAGTTTCTGACATTGCTTCTATCTAGCTTTTATTGGAAGATATTTCCTTTATCACCGTATTCCTGAGATCTCTCCAAATGTCCAATTCCAGATACTACAAAAAGAGTGTTTCAAACCTGCTCTATGAAAGGGAATGTTCAACTCTGTGACTTGAATGCAAACATCACAAAGAAATTTCTGGGAATGCTGCTGTCTGCTTTTTATATGTAATCCCGTTTCCAACGAAATCCTCAAAGCTAGACAAATATCCACTTGCAGATTCCACAAAAAGATTGTTCCAAAACTGCTCTCTCAAAAGAAAGGTTCAACTCTGTTAGCTGAGTAGATACATCATGAAAAAGTTTCTGACATTGCTTCTATCTAGCTTTTATTGGAAGATATTTCCTTTATCACCGTATTCCTGAGATCTCTCCAAATGTCCACATCCAGATACTACAAAAAGAGTGTTTCAAACCTGCTCTATGAAAGGGACTGTTCAACACTGTGACTTCAATTGAAACATCCCATGAAGCTTCTGAGAATGCTTCTGTCTAGAGTTTATATGAAGACAATCCCGTTTCCAACGAAATCCTCAAAGCTATCCAAATATCCTCTTGCAGATTTTACAAAAAGTGTGTTTCAAAACTGCTCTATCAAAAGAAAGCTTCAACACTGATAGTTGAGGGCGCACATCACAAATAAGATTCTGAGAATGCTTCTGTCTAGTTTTCAGGGGAAGATATTTCCTTTTTCACCATAGGCCTGAAAGCGCTCCAAATGTCCACATCCAGATACTACAAAAAGAGTGTTTCAAACCTGCTCTATGAAAGGCAATGTTCAACTCTGTGACTTGAATGCAAACATCACAAAGAAGTTTCTGGGAATGCTGCTGTCTGCTTTTTATAGGTAATCCCGTTTCCAACGAAATCCTCAAAGCTAGAAAAATATCCGCTTGCAGATTCCACACAAAGAGTGTTTCAAAACTGCTCTCTCAAAAGAAAGGTTCAACTCTGTTAGCTGAGTAGATACATCATGAAAAAGTTTCTGACATTGCTTCTATCTAGCTTTTATTGGAAGATATTTCCTTTATCACCGTATTCCTGAGAACTCTCCAAACGTCCACTTCCAGATACTACAAAAAGAGTGTTTCAAACCTGCTCTATGAAAGGGACTGTTCAACACTGTTACTTCAATTGAAACATCCCAATGAAGCTTCTGAGAATGCTTCTGTCTAGATTTTGTATGAAGACAACCCCGTTTCCAACGAAATCCTCAAAGCTATCCAAATATCCTCTTGCAGATTTTACAAAAAGAGTGTTTCAAAACTGCTCTATCAAAAGAAAGCTTCAACACTGTTAGTTGAGGGCGCACATCACAAATAAGATTCTGAGAATGCTTCTGTCTAGTTTTCAGGGGAAGATATTTCCTTTTTCACCATAGGTCTGAAAGCGCTCCAAATGTCCATATCCAGATACTACAAAAATAGTGTTTCAAACCTGCTCTATGAAAGGGAATGTTGAACTCTGTGACTTGAATGCAAACATCACAAAGAAATTTCTGGGAATGCTGCTGTCTGCTTTTTATATGTAATCCCGTTTCCAACGAAATCCTCAAAGCTAGACAAATATCCAGTTGCCGATTCCACAAAAAGAGTGTTTCAAAACTGCTCTCTCAAAAGAAAGTTTCAACTCTGTTAGCTGAGTAGATACATCATGAAAAAGTTTCTGACATTGCTTCTATCTAGCTTTTATTGGAAGATATTTCCTTTATCACCGTATTCCTGAGACCTCTCCAAATGTCCAATTCCAGATACTACAAAAAGATTGTTTCAAACCTGCTCTATGAAAGGGAATGTTCAACTCTGTGACTTGAATGCAAACATCACAAAGAAATTTCTGGGAATGCTGCTGTCTGCTTTTTATATGTAATCCCGTTTCCAACGAAATCCTCAAACTAGACAAATATCCACTTGCAGATTCCACAAAAAGAGTGTTCCAAAACTGCTCTCTCAAAAGAAAGGTTCAACTCTGTTAGCTGAGTAGATACATCATGAAAAAGTTTCTGACATTGCTTCTATCTAGCTTTTATTGGAAGATATTTCCTTTATCACCGTATTCCTGAGATCTCTCCAAATGTCCACATCCAGATACTACAAAAAGAGTGTTTCAAACCTGCTCTATGAAAGGGACTGTTCAACACTGTGACTTCAATTGAAACATCCCAATGAAGGTTCTGAGAATGCTTCTGTCTAGAGTTTATATGAAGACAATCCCGTTTCCAACGAAATCCTCAAAGCTATCCAAATATCCTCTTGCCGATATTACAAAAAGAGTGTTTCAAAACTGCTCTATCAAAAGAAAGCTTCAACACTGTTAGTTGAGGGCGCACATCACAAATAAGTTTCTGAGAATGCTTCTGTCTAGTTTTCAGGGGAAGATATTTCCTTTTTCACCATAGGCCTGAAAGCGCTCCAAATGTCCACATCCAGATACTACAAAAAGAGTGTTTCAAACCTGCTCTATGAAAGGGAATGTTCAACTCTGTGACTTGAATGCAAACATCACAAAGAAGTTTCTGGGAATGCTGCTGTCTGCTTTTTATATGTAATCCCGTTTCCAACGAAATCCTCAAAGCTAGACAAATATCCACTTGCAGATTCCACAAAAAGAGTGTTTCAAAACTGCTCTCTCAAAAGAAAGGTTCAACTCTGTTAGCTGAGTAGATACATCATGAAAAAGTTTCTGACATTGCTTCTATCTACCTTTTATTGGAAGATATTTCCTTTATCACCCTATTAATGAGATCTCTCCAAATGTCCACTTCCAGAAACTACAAAAAGAGTGTTTCAAACCTGCTCTATGAAAGGGACTGTTCAACACTGTGACTTCAATTGAAACATCCCAATGAAGCTTCTGAGAATGCTTCTGTCTAGAGTTTATATGAAGACAATCCCGTTTCCAACGAAATCCTCAATGCTATCCAAATATCCTCTTGCAGATTTTACAAAAAGAGTGTTTCAAAACTGCTCTATCAAAAGAAAGCTTCAACACTGTTAGTTGAGGGCGCACATCACAAATAAGATTCTGAGAATGCTTCTGTCTAGTTTTCAGTGGAAGATATTTCCTTTTTCACCATAGGCCTGAAAGCGCTCCAAATGTCCACATCCAGATACTACAAAAAGAGTGTTTCAAACCTGCTCTATGAAAGGGAATGTTCAACACTGTGACTTGAATGCAAACATCACAAAGAAGATTCTGGGAATGCTGCTGTCTGCTTTTTATATGCAATCCCATTTCCAACGAAATCCTCAAAGCTAGACAAATATCCACTTGCAGATTCCACAAAAAGAGTGTTTCAAAACTGCTCTATCAAAAGAAAGCTTCTACACTGTTAGTTGAGGGCGCACATCACAAATAAGTTTCTGAGAATGCTTCTGTCTAGTTTTCAGGGGAAGATATTTCCTTTTTCACCTCAGGCCTGAAAGCGCTCCAAATGTCCACATCCAGATACTACAAAAAGAGTGTTTCAAACCTGCTCTATGAAAGGGAATGTTCAACTCTGTGACTTCAATTGAAACATCCCAATGAAGCTTCTGAGAATGCTTCTGTCTAGAGTTTATATGAAGACAATCCCGTTTCCAACGAAATCCTCAAAGCTATCCAAATATCCTCTTGCAGATTTTACAAAAAGAGGGTTTCAAAACTGCTCTATCAAAAGAAAGGTTCAACACTGTTAGTTGAGGGCGCACATCACAAATAAGTTTCTGAGAATGCTTCTGTTTAGTTTTCAGGGGAAGATATTTCCTTTTTCACCATAGGCCTGAAAGCGCTCCAAATGTCCACATCCAGATACTACAAAAAGAGTGTTTCAAACCTGCTCTATGAAAGGGAATGTTCAACTCTGTGACTTGAATGCAAACATCAGAAAGAAGTTTCTGGGAATGCTGCTGTCTGCTTTTTGTATGTAATCACGTTTCCAACGAAATCCTCAAACTAGACAAATATCCAGTTGCAGATTCCACAAAAAGAGTGTTTCAAAACTGCTCTCTCAAAAGAAAGGTTCAACTCTGTTAGCTGAGTAGATACATCATGAAAAAGTTTCTGACATTGCTTCTATCTAGCTTGTATTGGAAGATATTTCCTTTTTCACCGTAGTCCTGAGAGCGCTCGAAATGTCCACTTCCAGATACTACAAAAAGAGTGTTTCAAACCTGCTCCATGAAAGGGACTGTTCAACACTGTGACTTCAATTGAAACATCCCAATGAAGCTTCTGAGAATGCTTCTGTCTACAGTTTATATGACGACAATCCCGTTTCCAACGAAATCCTCAAAGCTATCCAAATATCCTCTTGCAGATTTTACCAAAAGAGGGTTTCAAAACTGCTCTATCAAAAGAAAGCTTCAACACTGTTAGTTGAGGGCGCACATCACAAATAAGATTCTGAGAATGGTTCTGTCTAGTTTTCAGGGGAAGATATTTCCTTTTTCACCATAGGCCTGAAAGCGCTCCAAATGTCCACATCCAGATACTACAAAAAGAGTGTTTCAAACCTGCTCTATGAAAGGGAATGTTCAACTCTGTGACTTGAATGCAAACATCACAAAGAAGTTTCTGGGAATGCTGCTGTCTGCTTTTAATATGTAATCACGTTTCCAACGAAATCCTCAAAGCTAGACAAATATCCACTTGCAGATTCCACAAAAAGAGTGTTTCCAAACTGCTCTATCAAAAGAAAGCTTCAACACTGTTAGTTGAGGGCGCACATCACAAATAAGTTTCTGAGAATGCTTCTGTCTAGTTTTCAGGGGAAGATATTTCCTTTTTCACCATAGGCCTGAAAGCGCGCCAAATGTCCACATCCAGATACTACAAAAAGAGTGTTTCAAACCTGCTCTATGAAAGGGAATGTTCAACTCTGTGACTTGAATGCAAACATCACAAAGAAGTTTCTGGGAATGCTGCTGTCTGCTTTTTATATGTAATCCCGTTTCCAACGAAATCCTCAAAGCTAGACAAATATCCACTTGCAGATTCCACAAAAAGAGTGTTTCAAAACTGCTCTCTCAAAAGAAAGGTTGAACTCTGTTAGCTGAGTAGATATATCATGAAAAAGTTTCTGACATTGCTTCTATCTAGCTTTTATTGGAAGATATTTCCTTTTTCACCGTAGTCCTGAGAGCGCTCTAAATGTCCACTTCCAGATACTACAAAAAGAGTGTTTCAAACCTGCTCTATGAAAGGGAATGTTCAACTGTGTGACTTGAATGCAAACATCACAAAGAAGTTTCTGGGAATGCTGCTGTCTGCTTTTTATATGTAATCCCGTTTCCAACGAAATCCTCAAAGCTAGACAAATATCCACTTGCAGATTCCACAAAAAGAGTGTTTCAAAACTGCTCTCTCAAAAGAAAGGTTGAACTCTGTTAGCTGAGTAGATATATCATGAAAAAGTTTCTGACATTGCTTCTATCTAGCTTTTATTGGAAGATATTTCCTTTTTCACCGTAGTCCTGAGAGCGCTCTAAATGTCCACTTCCAGATACTACAAAAAGAGTGTTTCAAACCTGCTCTATGAAAGGGAATGTTCAACTGTGTGACTTGAATGCAAACATCACAAAGAAGTTTCTGGGAATGCTGCTGTCTGCTTTTTATATGTAATCCCGTTTCCAACGAAATCCTCAAATCTAGCTACATATGCACTTGCAGATTCCACAAAAAGAGTGTTTCAAAACTGCTCCTTCAAAACGATTGTTGAATTCTGTTAGTTGAGTACACACATCACAAATAAGTTTCTGAGAATGCTTCTGTCTGGTTTCTATGGGAAGATATTTCCTTTTTCAACACAAGCCTGAATGCGCTCCAAACGGACACATCCAGATATGACAAAGGGCGTGTTTCCAACCTGCTCTATGATACCGAACTTTGAACTCTGTGACTTGAATGCAAACATCACAAAGAAGTTTCTCACAATGCTGCTGTCTGCTTTTTATAAGTATTCCCGGTTCCAACGAAATCCTCAAGGCCAGCCAAATATTCACTTGCAGATACCACAAAATGAGTGTTTCAAAACTGTTCTGTCAAAAGAAATGTTCAACTCTGTTAGTTGAGGACACACCTCAGAAACCGGTTTCAGAGAATGCTTCTGTCTTGTTTTTATGGGAAGATATTTCCTTTTTCAACATAGGCCTGAAAGCGCTCCAAATGTCCACTTCCAGATACTACAAAAAGAGTGTTTCAAACCTGCTCTATGAAAGGGACTGTTCAACACTGCGACTTCAACTGAAACATGCCAATGAAGCTTCTGAGAATGCTACTGTCTAGAGTTTATATGAAGACAATCCCGTTTCCAACGAAATCCTCAAAGCTAGACAAATATCCACATGCAGATTCCACAAAAGGAGTGTTTCAAAACTGCTCTTTCAAACCGATGGTTCAATTCTGTTAGTTGAGTACACACATCACAAATAAGTTTCTGAGAGTGCTTCTATCTAGTTTTTATGGGAGGATATTTCCTTTTTCAACACAAGCCGGAATGCGCTCCAAACGGACAACTTCTAGATATGACAAAAGGCGTGTTTCAAACCTGCTCTATGAAAGGGAATGTTCAAATCCGGGACTTCAATGCAAACATCACAAAGAAGTTTCTGAGAATGCTGCTGTCTGCTTTTTATATGGATTCCCGTTTCCAACGAAATCCTCCAAGCTGGCTTAATATCCACTTGCATATTCCACAAAAAGACTGTTTTAAAACTGCTCTCTCAAAAGAAAGGTTGAACTCTGTTAGCTGAGTAGATATATCATGAAAAAGTTTCTGACATTGCTTCTATCTAGCTTTTATTGGAAGATATTTCCTTTTTCACCATAGTTTTGAGAGCGCTCTAAATGTCCACTTCCAGATACTACAAAAAGAGTGTTTCAAACCTGCTCTATGAAAGGGAATGTAGAACTCTGTGACTTGAATGCAAACATCACAAAGAAGTTTCTGGGAATGCTGCTGTAGCTTTTTATATGTTATCCCGTTTCCAACGAAATCCTCAAAGCTAGAGAAATATCCAATTGCAGATTCCACAAAAAGAATGTTTCAAAACTGCTCTCTCAAAAGAAAGGTTAAACTCTGTTAGCTGAGTAGATACATCATGAAAAAGTTTCTGACATTGCTTCTATTTGGCTTTTATTGGAAGATATTTCCTTTTTCACCGAAGTCCTGAGAGCGCTCAAAATGTCCACTTCCAGATACTACAAAAAGAGTGTTTCAAACCTGCACTATGAAAGGGACTGTTCAACACTGTGACTTCAATTGAAACATCCCAATGAAGTTTCTGAGAATGCTTCTGTCTAGTTTTCAGGGGAAGATATTTCCTTTTTCACCATAGGGCTGAAAGCGCTCCAAATGTCCACATCCAGATACTACAAAAAGAGTGTTTCAAACCTGCTCTATGAAAGGGACTGTTCAACACTGTGACTTCAATTGAAACATCCCAATGAAGCTTCTGAGAATGCTACTGTCTAGAGTTTATATGAAGACTATCCCGTTTCCACCGAAATCCTCAAAGCTATCCAAATATCCTCTTGCAGATTTTACAAAAAGAGTGTTTCAAAACTGCTCTATCAAAAGAAAGGTTCAACACTGTTAGTTGAGGGCGCACATCACAAATAAGTTTCTGAGAATGCTTCTGTCTAGTTTTCAGGGGAAGATATTTCCTTTTTCACCATAGGCCTGAAAGCGCTCCAAATGTCCACATCCAGATACTACAAAAAGAGTGTTTCAAACCTGCTCTATGAAAGGGAATGTTCAACTCTGTGACTTGAATGCAAACATCACAAAGAAGATTCTGGGAATGCTGCTGTCTGCTTTTTATATGTAATCCCGTTTCGAACGAAATCCTCAAAGCTAGACAAATATCCACTTCCAGATTCCACAAAAAGAGTGTTTCAAAACTGCTCTCTCAAAAGAAAGGTTCAACTCTGTTGGCTGAGTAGATACATCATGAAAAAGTTTCTGACATTGCTTCTATCTAGCTTTTATTGGAAGATATTTCCTTTTTCACCGTAGTCCTTAGAACGCTCCAAATGTCCACTTCCAGATACTACAAAAAGAGTGTTTCAAACCTGCTCTATGAAAGGGACTGTTCAACACTGTGACTTCAATTGAAACATCCCAATGAAGCTTCTGAGAATGCTTCTGTCTAGAGTTTATATGAAGACAATCCCGTTTCCAACGAAATCCTCAAAGCTATCCAAATATCCTCTTGCAGATTTTACAAAAAGAGTGTTTCAAAACTGCTCTATCAAAAGAAAGCTTCAACACTGTTAGTTGAGGGCGCACATCACAAATAAGATTCTGAGAATGCTTCTGTCTAGTTTTCAGGGGAAGATATTTCCTTTTTCACCATAGGCCTGAAAGCGCTCCAAATGTCCATATCCAGATACTACAAAAAGAGTGTTTCAAACCTGCTCTATGAAAGGGAATGTTCAACTCTGTGACTTGAATGCAAACATCACAAAGATGTTACTGGGAATGCTGCTGTCTGCTTTTTATATGTAATCCCGTTTCCAACGAAATCCTCAAAGCTAGACAAATATCCACTTGCAGATTCCACAAAAAGAGTGTTTCAAAACTGCTCTCTCAAAAGAAAGGTTCAACTCTGTTAGCTGAGTAGATACATCATGAAAAAGTTTCTGACATTGCTTCTATGTAGCTTTTATTGGAAGATATTTCCTTTTTCACCGTAGTCCTGAGAGCGCTCCAAATGTCCACTTCCAGATACAACAAAAAGAGTGTTTCAATCCTGCTCTATGAAAGGGACTGTTCAACACTGTGACTTCAATTGAAACATCCCAATGAAGCTTCTGAGAATGCTTCTGTCTAGAGTTTATATGAAGACAATCCCGTTTCCAATGAAATCCTCAAAGCTATCCAAATATCCTCTTGCAGATTTTACAAAAAGAGTGTTTCAAAACTGCTCTATCAAAAGAAAGCTTCAACACTGTTAGTTGAGGGCGAACATCACAAATAAGATTCTCAGAATGCTTCTGTCTAGTTTTCAGGGGAAGATATTTCCTTTTTCACCATAGGCCTGAAAGCGCTCCAAATGTCCACATCCAGATACTACAAAAAGAGTGTTTCAAACCTGCTCTATGAAAGGGAATGTTCAACTCTGTGACTTGAATGCAAACATCACAAGGAAGTTACTGGGAATGCTGCTGTCTGCTTTTTATATGTAATCCCGTTTCCAACGAAATCCTCAAAGCTAGACAAATATCCACTTGCAGATTCCACAAAAAGAGTGTTTCAAAACTGCTCTCTCAAAAGAAAGGTTCAACTCTGTTAGCTGAGTAGATACATCATGAAAAAGTTTCTGACATTGCTTCTATGTAGCTTTTATTGGAAGATATTTCCTTTTTCACCGTAGTCCTGAGAGCGCTCCAAATGTCCACTTCCAGATACAACAAAAAGAGTGTTTCAAACCTGCTCTATGAAAGGGACTGTTCAACACTGTGAGTTCAATTGAAACATCCCAATGAAGCTTCTGAGAATGCTTCTGTCTAGAGTTTATATGAAGACAATCCCGTTTCCAATGAAATCCTCAAAGCTATCCAAATATCTTCTTGCAGATTTTACAAAAAGAGTGTTTCAAAACTGGTCTATCAAAAGAAAGCTTCAACACTGTTAGTTGAGGGCGCACATCACAAATAAGATTCTCAGAATGCTTCTGTCTAGTTTTCAGGGGAAGATATTTCCTTTTTCACCATAGGCCTGAAAGCGCTCCAAATGTCCACATCCAGATACTACAAAAAGAGTGTTTCAAACCTGCTCTATGAAAGGGAATGTTCAACTCTGTGACTTGAATGCAAACATCACAAGGAAGTTACTGGGAATGCTGCTGTCTGCTTTTTATATGTAATCCCGTTTCCAACGAAATCCTCAAAGCTAGACAAATATCCACTTGCAGATTCCACAAAAAGAGTGTTTCAAAACTGCTCTCTCAAAAGAAAGGTTCAACTCTGTTAGCTGAGTAGATACATCATGAAAAAGTTTCTGACATTGCTTCTATCTAGCTTTTATTGGAAGATATTTCCTTTTTCACCGTAGTCCAGAGATCTCTCCAAATGTCCACTTCCAGAAACTACAAAAAGAGTGTTTCAAACCTGCTCTATGAAAGGGACTGTTCAACACTGTGACTTCAATTGAAACATCCCAATGAAGCTTCTGAGAATGCTTCTGTCTAGAGTTTATATGAAGACAATCCCGTTTCCAACGAAATCCTCAATGCTATCCAAATATCCTCTTGCAGATTTTACAAAAAGAGTGTTTCAAAACTGCTCTATCAAAAGAAAGCTTCAACACTGTTAGTTGAGGGCGCACATCACAAATAAGATTCTGAGAATGCTTCTGTCTAGTTTTCAGTGGAAGATATTTCCTTTTTCACCATAGGCCTGAAAGCGCTCCAAATGTCCACATCCAGATACTACAAAAAGAGTGTTTCAAACCTGCTCTATGAAAGGGAATGTTCAACACTGTGACTTGAATGCAAACATCACAAAGAAGATTCTGGGAATGCTGCTGTCTGCTTTTTATATGTAATCCCATTTCCAACGAAATCCTCAAAGCTAGACAAATATCCACTTGCAGATTCCACAAAAAGAGTGTTTCAAAACTGCTCTATCAAAAGAAAGCTTCTACACTGTTAGTTGAGGGCGCACATCACAAATAAGTTTCTGAGAATGCTTCTGTCTAGTTTTCAGGGGAAGATATTTCCTTTTTCACCTCAGGCCTGAAAGCGCTCCAAATGTCCACATCCAGATACTACAAAAAGAGTGTTTCAAACCTGCTCTATGAAAGGGAATGTTCAACTCTGTGACTTCAATTGAAACATCCCAATGAAGCTTCTGAGAATGCTTCTGTCTAGAGTTTATATGAAGACAATCCCGTTTCCAACGAAATCCTCAAAGCTATCCAAATATCCTCTTGCAGATTTTACAAAAAGAGGGTTTCAAAACTGCTCTATCAAAAGAAAGGTTCAACACTGTTAGTTGAGGGCGCACATCACAAATAAGTTTCTGAGAATGCTTCTGTTTAGTTTTCAGGGGAAGATATTTCCTTTTTCACCATAGGCCTGAAAGCGCTCCAAATGTCCACATCCAGATACTACAAAAAGAGTGTTTCAAACCTGCTCTATGAAAGGGAATGTTCAACTCTGTGACTTGAATGCAAACATCACAAAGAAGTTTGTGGGAATGCTGCTGTCTGCTTTTTATATGTAATCCCGTTTCCAACGAAATCCTCAAAGCTAGACAAATATCCACTTGCAGATTCCAAAAAAAGAGTGTTTCAAAACTGCTCTCTCAAAAGAAAGGTTCAACTCTGTTAGCTGAGTAGATACATCATGAAAAAGTTTCTGACATTGCTTCTATCTAGCTTTTATTGGAAGATATTTCCTTTTTCACCGCAGTCCTGAGAGCGCTCGAAATGTCCACTTCCATATACTACAAAAAGAGTGTTTCAAACCTGCTCTATGAAAGGGACTGTTCAACACTGTGACTTCAATTGAAACATCCCAATGAAGCTTCTGAGAATGCTTCTGTCTAGAGTTTATATGAAGGCAATCCCGTTTAAAACGAAATCCTCAAAGCTATCCAAATATCCTCTTGCAGATTTTACAAAAAGAGGATTTCAAAACTGCTCTATCAAAAGAAAGCTTCAACACTGTTAGTTGAGGGCGCACATCACAAATAAGATTCTGAGAATGCTTCTGTGTAGTTTTCAGGGGAAGATATTTCCTTTTTCACCATAGGTCTGAAAGCGCTCCAAATGTCCACATCCAGATACTACAAAAAGAGTGTTTCAAACCTGCTCTATGAAAGGGAATGTTCAACTCTGTGACTTGAATGCAAACATCAGAAAGAAGTTTCTGGGAATGCTGCTGTCTGCTTTTTGTATGTAATCACGTTTCCAACGAAATCCTCAAAGCTAGACAAATATCCAGTTGCAGATTCCACAAAAAGAGTGTTTCAAAACTGCTCTCTCAAAAGAAAGGTTCAACTCTGTTAGCTGAGTAGATACATCATGAAAAAGTTTCTGACATTGCTTCTATCTAGCTTGTATTGGAAGATATTTCCTTTTTCACCGTAGTCCTGAGAGCGCTCGAAATGTCCACTTCCAGATACTACAAAAAGAGTGTTTCAAACCTGCTCCATGAAAGGGACTGTTCAACACTGTGACTTCAATTGAAACATCCCAATGAAGCTTCTGAGAATGCTTCTGTCTACAGTTTATATGACGACAATCCCGTTTCCAACGAAATCCTCAAAGCTATCCAAATATCCTCTTGCAGATTTTACCAAAAGAGGGTTTCAAAACTGCTCTATCAAAAGAAAGCTTCAACACTGTTAGTTGAGGGCGCACATCACAAATAAGATTCTGAGAATGGTTCTGTCTAGTTTTCAGGGGAAGATATTTCCTTTTTCACCATAGGCCTGAAAGCGCTCCAAATGTCCACATCCAGATACTACAAAAAGAGTGTTTCAAACCTGCTCTATGAAAGGGAATGTTCAACTCTGTGACTTGAATGCAAACATCACAAAGAAGTTTCTGGGAATGCTGCTGTCTGCTTTTAATATGTAATCACGTTTCCAACGAAATCCTCAAAGCTAGACAAATATCCACTTGCAGATTCCACAAAAAGAGTGTTTCCAAACTGCTCTATCAAAAGAAAGCTTCAACACTGTTAGTTGAGGGCGCACATCACAAATAAGTTTCTGAGAATGCTTCTGTCTAGTTTTCAGGGGAAGATATTTCCTTTTTCACCATAGGCCTGAAAGCGCGCCAAATGTCCACATCCAGATACTACAAAAAGAGTGTTTCAAACCTGCTCTATGAAAGGGAATGTTCAACTCTGTGACTTGAATGCAAACATCACAAAGAAGTTTCTGGGAATGCTGCTGTCTGCTTTTTATATGTAATCCCGTTTCCAACGAAATCCTCAAAGCTAGACAAATATCCACTTGCAGATTCCACAAAAAGAGTGTTTCAAAACTGCTCTCTCAAAAGAAAGGTTGAACTCTGTTAGCTGAGTAGATATATCATGAAAAAGTTTCTGACATTGCTTCTATCTAGCTTTTATTGGAAGATATTTCCTTTTTCACCGTAGTCCTGAGAGCGCTCTAAATGTCCACTTCCAGATACTACAAAAAGAGTGTTTCAAACCTGCTCTATGAAAGGGAATGTTCAACTGTGTGACTTGAATGCAAACATCACAAAGAAGTTTCTGGGAATGCTGCTGTCTGCTTTTTATATGTAATCCCGTTTCCAACGAAATCCTCAAATCTAGCTACATATGCACTTGCAGATTCCACAAAAAGAGTGTTTCAAAACTGCTCCTTCAAAACGATTGTTGAATTCTGTTAGTTGAGTACACACATCACAAATAAGTTTCTGAGAATGCTTCTGTCTGGTTTCTATGGGAAGATATTTCCTTTTTCAACACAAGCCTGAATGCGCTCCAAACGGACACATCCAGATATGACAAAGGGCGTGTTTCCAACCTGCTCTATGATACCGAACTTTGAACTCTGTGACTTGAATGCAAACATCACAAAGAAGTTTCTCACAATGCTGCTGTCTGCTTTTTATAAGTATTCCCGGTTCCAACGAAATCCTCAAGGCCAGCCAAATATTCACTTGCAGATACCACAAAATGAGTGTTTCAAAACTGTTCTGTCAAAAGAAATGTTCAACTCTGTTAGTTGAGGACACACCTCAGAAACCGGTTTCAGAGAATGCTTCTGTCTTGTTTTTATGGGAAGATATTTCCTTTTTCAACATAGGCCTGAAAGCGCTCCAAATGTCCACTTCCAGATACTACAAAAAGAGTGTTTCAAACCTGCTCTATGAAAGGGACTGTTCAACACTGCGACTTCAACTGAAACATGCCAATGAAGCTTCTGAGAATGCTACTGTCTAGAGTTTATATGAAGACAATCCCGTTTCCAACGAAATCCTCAAAGCTAGACAAATATCCACATGCAGATTCCACAAAAGGAGTGTTTCAAAACTGCTCTTTCAAACCGATGGTTCAATTCTGTTAGTTGAGTACACACATCACAAATAAGTTTCTGAGAGTGCTTCTATCTAGTTTTTATGGGAGGATATTTCCTTTTTCAACACAAGCCGGAATGCGCTCCAAACGGACAACTTCTAGATATGACAAAAGGCGTGTTTCAAACCTGCTCTATGAAAGGGAATGTTCAAATCCGGGACTTCAATGCAAACATCACAAAGAAGTTTCTGAGAATGCTGCTGTCTGCTTTTTATATGGATTCCCGTTTCCAACGAAATCCTCCAAGCTGGCTTAATATCCACTTGCATATTCCACAAAAAGACTGTTTTAAAACTGCTCTCTCAAAAGAAAGGTTGAACTCTGTTAGCTGAGTAGATATATCATGAAAAAGTTTCTGACATTGCTTCTATCTAGCTTTTATTGGAAGATATTTCCTTTTTCACCATAGTTTTGAGAGCGCTCTAAATGTCCACTTCCAGATACTACAAAAAGAGTGTTTCAAACCTGCTCTATGAAAGGGAATGTAGAACTCTGTGACTTGAATGCAAACATCACAAAGAAGTTTCTGGGAATGCTGCTGTAGCTTTTTATATGTTATCCCGTTTCCAACGAAATCCTCAAAGCTAGAGAAATATCCAATTGCAGATTCCACAAAAAGAATGTTTCAAAACTGCTCTCTCAAAAGAAAGGTTAAACTCTGTTAGCTGAGTAGATACATCATGAAAAAGTTTCTGACATTGCTTCTATTTGGCTTTTATTGGAAGATATTTCCTTTTTCACCGAAGTCCTGAGAGCGCTCAAAATGTCCACTTCCAGATACTACAAAAAGAGTGTTTCAAACCTGCACTATGAAAGGGACTGTTCAACACTGTGACTTCAATTGAAACATCCCAATGAAGTTTCTGAGAATGCTTCTGTCTAGTTTTCAGGGGAAGATATTTCCTTTTTCACCATAGGGCTGAAAGCGCTCCAAATGTCCACATCCAGATACTACAAAAAGAGTGTTTCAAACCTGCTCTATGAAAGGGACTGTTCAACACTGTGACTTCAATTGAAACATCCCAATGAAGCTTCTGAGAATGCTACTGTCTAGAGTTTATATGAAGACTATCCCGTTTCCACCGAAATCCTCAAAGCTATCCAAATATCCTCTTGCAGATTTTACAAAAAGAGTGTTTCAAAACTGCTCTATCAAAAGAAAGGTTCAACACTGTTAGTTGAGGGCGCACATCACAAATAAGTTTCTGAGAATGCTTCTGTCTAGTTTTCAGGGGAAGATATTTCCTTTTTCACCATAGGCCTGAAAGCGCTCCAAATGTCCACATCCAGATACTACAAAAAGAGTGTTTCAAACCTGCTCTATGAAAGGGAATGTTCAACTCTGTGACTTGAATGCAAACATCACAAAGAAGATTCTGGGAATGCTGCTGTCTGCTTTTTATATGTAATCCCGTTTCGAACGAAATCCTCAAAGCTAGACAAATATCCACTTCCAGATTCCACAAAAAGAGTGTTTCAAAACTGCTCTCTCAAAAGAAAGGTTCAACTCTGTTGGCTGAGTAGATACATCATGAAAAAGTTTCTGACATTGCTTCTATCTAGCTTTTATTGGAAGATATTTCCTTTTTCACCGTAGTCCTTAGAACGCTCCAAATGTCCACTTCCAGATACTACAAAAAGAGTGTTTCAAACCTGCTCTATGAAAGGGACTGTTCAACACTGTGACTTCAATTGAAACATCCCAATGAAGCTTCTGAGAATGCTTCTGTCTAGAGTTTATATGAAGACAATCCCGTTTCCAACGAAATCCTCAAAGCTATCCAAATATCCTCTTGCAGATTTTACAAAAAGAGTGTTTCAAAACTGCTCTATCAAAAGAAAGCTTCAACACTGTTAGTTGAGGGCGCACATCACAAATAAGATTCTGAGAATGCTTCTGTCTAGTTTTCAGGGGAAGATATTTCCTTTTTCACCATAGGCCTGAAAGCGCTCCAAATGTCCACATCCAGATACTACAAAAAGAGTGTTTCAAACCTGCTCTATGAAAGGGAATGTTCAACTCTGTGACTTGAATGCAAACATCACAAAGATGTTACTGGGAATGCTGCTGTCTGCTTTTTATATGTAATCCCGTTTCCAACGAAATCCTCAAAGCTAGACAAATATCCACTTGCAGATTCCACAAAAAGAGTGTTTCAAAACTGCTCTCTCAAAAGAAAGGTTCAACTCTGTTAGCTGAGTAGATACATCATGAAAAAGTTTCTGACATTGCTTCTATGTAGCTTTTATTGGAAGATATTTCCTTTTTCACCGTAGTCCTGAGAGCGCTCCAAATGTCCACTTCCAGATACAACAAAAAGAGTGTTTCAATCCTGCTCTATGAAAGGGACTGTTCAACACTGTGACTTCAATTGAAACATCCCAATGAAGCTTCTGAGAATGCTTCTGTCTAGAGTTTATATGAAGACAATCCCGTTTCCAATGAAATCCTCAAAGCTATCCAAATATCCTCTTGCAGATTTTACAAAAAGAGTGTTTCAAAACTGCTCTATCAAAAGAAAGCTTCAACACTGTTAGTTGAGGGCGAACATCACAAATAAGATTCTCAGAATGCTTCTGTCTAGTTTTCAGGGGAAGATATTTCCTTTTTCACCATAGGCCTGAAAGCGCTCCAAATGTCCACATCCAGATACTACAAAAAGAGTGTTTCAAACCTGCTCTATGAAAGGGAATGTTCAACTCTGTGACTTGAATGCAAACATCACAAGGAAGTTACTGGGAATGCTGCTGTCTGCTTTTTATATGTAATCCCGTTTCCAACGAAATCCTCAAAGCTAGACAAATATCCACTTGCAGATTCCACAAAAAGAGTGTTTCAAAACTGCTCTCTCAAAAGAAAGGTTCAACTCTGTTAGCTGAGTAGATACATCATGAAAAAGTTTCTGACATTGCTTCTATGTAGCTTTTATTGGAAGATATTTCCTTTTTCACCGTAGTCCTGAGAGCGCTCCAAATGTCCACTTCCAGATACAACAAAAAGAGTGTTTCAAACCTGCTCTATGAAAGGGACTGTTCAACACTGTGAGTTCAATTGAAACATCCCAATGAAGCTTCTGAGAATGCTTCTGTCTAGAGTTTATATGAAGACAATCCCGTTTCCAATGAAATCCTCAAAGCTATCCAAATATCTTCTTGCAGATTTTACAAAAAGAGTGTTTCAAAACTGGTCTATCAAAAGAAAGCTTCAACACTGTTAGTTGAGGGCGCACATCACAAATAAGATTCTCAGAATGCTTCTGTCTAGTTTTCAGGGGAAGATATTTCCTTTTTCACCATAGGCCTGAAAGCGCTCCAAATGTCCACATCCAGATACTACAAAAAGAGTGTTTCAAACCTGCTCTATGAAAGGGAATGTTCAACTCTGTGACTTGAATGCAAACATCACAAGGAAGTTACTGGGAATGCTGCTGTCTGCTTTTTATATGTAATCCCGTTTCCAACGAAATCCTCAAAGCTAGACAAATATCCACTTGCAGATTCCACAAAAAGAGTGTTTCAAAACTGCTCTCTCAAAAGAAAGGTTCAACTCTGTTAGCTGAGTAGATACATCATGAAAAAGTTTCTGACATTGCTTCTATCTAGCTTTTATTGGAAGATATTTCCTTTTTCACCGTAGTCCAGAGATCTCTCCAAATGTCCACTTCCAGATACTACAAAAAGAGTGTTTCAAACCTGCTCTATGAAAGGGACTGTTCAACACTGTGACTTCAATTGAAACATCCCAATGAAGCTTCTGAGAATGCTTCTGTCTAGAGTTTATATGAAGACAATCCCGTTTCCAATGAAATCCTCAAAGCTATCCAAATATCCTCTTGCAGATTTTACAAAAAGAGTGTTTCAAAACTGCTCTATCAAAAGAAAGCTTCAACACTGTTAGTTGAGGGCGCACATCACAAATAAGATTCTGAGAATGCTTCTGTCTAGTTTTCAGGAGAAGATATTTCCTTTTTCACCATAGGCCTGAAAGCGCTCCAAATGTCCACATCCAGATTCTATAAAAAGAGTGTTTCAAACCTGGTCTCTGAAAGGGAATGTTCAACTCTGTGACTTGAATGCAAACATCACAAACAAGATTCTGGGAATGCTGCTGTCTGCTTTTTATATGTAATCCCGTTTCCAACGAAATCCTCAAAGCTAGACAAATATCCACTTGCAGATTCCACAAAAAGAGAGTTTCAAAACTGCTCTATCAAAAGAAAGCTTCAACACTGTTAGTTGAGGGCGCACATCAAAAATAAGTTTCTGAGAATGCTTCTGTCTAGTTTTCAGGGGAAGATATTTCCTTTTTCACCTCAGGCCTGAAAGCGCTCCAAATGTCCACATCCAGATACTACAAAAAGAGTGTTTCAAACCTGCTCTATGAAAGGGAATGTTCAACTCTGTGACTTCAATTGAAACATCCCAATGAAGCTTCTGAGAATGCTTCTGTCTAGAGTTTATATGAAGACAATCCCGTTTCCAACGAAATCCTCAAAGCTATCCAAATATCCTCTTGCAGATTTTACAAAAAGAGGGTTTCAAAACTGCTCTATCAAAAGAAAGGTTCAACACTGTTAGTTGAGGGCGCACATCACAAATAAGTTTCTGAGAATGCTTCTGTTTAGTTTTCAGGGGAAGATATTTCCTTTTTCACCATAGGCCTGAAAGCGCTCCAAATGTCCACATACAGATACTACAAAAAGTGTGTTTCAAACCTGCTCTATGAAAGGGAAGGTTCAACTCTGTGATTTGAATGCAAACATCACAAAGAAGTTTCTGGGAATGCTGCTGTCTGCTTTTTATATGTAATCCCGTTTCCAACGAAATCCTCAAAGCTAGACAAATATCCACTTGCAGATTCCACAAAAAGAGTGTTTCAAAACTGCTCTCTCAAAAGAAAGGTTCAACTCTGTTAGTTGAGTACACACATCACAAATAAGTTTCTGAGAATGCTTCTATCTAGTTTTTATGGGAGGATATTTCCTTTTTCAACACAAGCCGGAATGCGCTCCAAATGGACAACTTCCAGATATGACAAAAGGCGTGTTTCAAACCTGCTCTATGAAAGGGAATGTTCAAATCTGGGACTTCAATGCAAACATCACAAAGAAGTTTCTGAGAATGCTGCTGTCTGCTTTTTATATGCATTCCCGTTTCCAAGGAAATCCTCAAAGCTGGCTTAATATCCACTTGCATATTCCACAAAGAGACTGTTTTAAAACTGCTCTCTCAAAAGAAAGATTGATCTCTGTTAGCTGAGTAGATATATCATGAAAAAGTTTCTGACATTGCTTCTATGTAGCTTTTATTGGAAGATATTTCCTTTTTCACCGTAGTCCTGAGAGCGCTCTCAATGTCCACTTCCAGATACTACAAAAAGAGTGTTTCAAACCTGCTCTATGAAAGGGAATATTCAAATCTGTGACTTGAATGCAAACATCACAGAGAAGTTTCTGAGAATGCTGCTCTCTGCTTTTATATGTAATCCCGTTTCCAACGAAATCCTCAAAGCTAGAAAAATATCCACTTGCAGATTCCACAAAAAGAGTGTTTCAAAACTGCTCTCTCAAAAGAAAGGTTCAACTCTGTTAGCTGAGTAGATACATCATGACAAATTTTCTGACATTGCTTCTATCTAGCTTTTATTGGAAGATATTTCCTTTTTCACCGTAGTCCTGACAGCGCTCCAAATGTCCACTTCCAGATACTACAAAAAGAGTGTCTCAAACCTGCTCTATGAAAGGGACTGTTCAACACTGTGACTTCAATTGAAACATCCCAATGAAGTTACTGAGAATGCTTCTGTCTAGAGTTTATATGAAGACAATCCCGTTTCTAACGAAATCCTCAAAGCTATCCAAATATCCTCTTGCAGATTTTACACAAAGAGTGCTTCAAAACTGCCCTATCAAAAGAAAGGTTCAACACTGTTAGTTGAGGGCGCACATCACAAATAAGTTTCTGAGAATGCTTCTGTCTAGTTTTCAGGGGAAGATATTTCCTTTTTCACCATAGGCCTGAAAGCGCTCCAAATGTCCACATCCAGATACTACAAAAAGAGTGTTTCAAACCTGCTCTATGAAAGGGACTGTTCAACACTGTGACTTCAATTGAAACATCCCAATGAAGCTTCCGAGAATGCTTCTGTCTAGAGTTTATATGAAGACAATCCCGTTTCCAACGAAATCCTCAAAGCTATCCAAATATCCTCTTGCAGATTTTACAAAAAGAGTGTTTCAAAACTGCTCTATCAAAAGAAAGCTTCAACACTGTTAGTTGAGGGCGCACATCACAAATAATTTTCTGAGAATGCTTCTGTGTAGTTTTCAGGGGAAGATATATCCTTTTTCACCATAGGCCTGAAAGCGCTCCAAATGTCCACATCCAGATACTACAAAAAGAGTGTTTCAAACCTGCTCTATGAAAGGGAATGTTCAACTCTGTGACTTGAATGCAAACATCACAAAGAAGATTCTGGGAATGCTGCTGTCTGCTTTTTATATGTAATCCCGTTTCGAACGAAATCCTCAAAGCTAGACAAATATCCACTTGCAGATTCCACAAAAAGAGTGTTTCAAAACTGCTCTCTCAAAAGAAAGGTTCAACTCTGTTAGTTGAGTACACACATCACAAATAAGTTTCTGAGAATGCTTCTATCTAGTTTTTATGGGAGGATATTTCCTTTTTCAACACAAGCCGGAATGCGCTCCAAATGGACAACTTCCAGATATGACAAAAGGCGTGTTTCAAACCTGCTCTATGAAAGGGAATGTTCAAATCTGGGACTTCAATGCAAACATCACAAAGAAGTTTCTGAGAATGCTGCTGTCTGCTTTTTATATGCATTCCCGTTTCCAAGGAAATCCTCAAAGCTGGCTTAATATCCACTTGCATATTCCACAAAGAGACTGTTTTAAAACTGCTCTCTCAAAAGAAAGATTGATCTCTGTTAGCTGAGTAGATATATCATGAAAAAGTTTCTGACATTGCTTCTATGTAGCTTTTATTGGAAGATATTTCCTTTTTCACCGTAGTCCTGAGAGCGCTCTCAATGTCCACTTCCAGATACTACAAAAAGAGTGTTTCAAACCTGCTCTATGAAAGGGAATATTCAAATCTGTGACTTGAATGCAAACATCACAGAGAAGTTTCTGAGAATGCTGCTCTCTGCTTTTATATGTAATCCCGTTTCCAACGAAATCCTCAAAGCTAGACAAATATCCACTTGCAGATTCCACAAAAAGAGTGTTTCAAAACTGCTCTCTCAAAAGAAAGGTTCAACTCTGTTAGCTGAGTAGATACATCATGACAAATTTTCTGACATTGCTTCTATCTAGCTTTTATTGGAAGATATTTCCTTTTTCACCGTAGTCCTGACAGCGCTCCAAATGTCCACTTCCAGATACTACAAAAAGAGTGTCTCAAACCTGCTCTATGAAAGGGACTGTTCAACACTGTGACTTCAATTGAAACATCCCAATGAAGTTACTGAGAATGCTTCTGTCTAGAGTTTATATGAAGACAATCCCGTTTCTAACGAAATCCTCAAAGCTATCCAAATATCCTCTTGCAGATTTTACACAAAGAGTGCTTCAAAACTGCCCTATCAAAAGAAAGGTTCAACACTGTTAGTTGAGGGCGCACATCACAAATAAGTTTCTGAGAATGCTTCTGTCTAGTTTTCAGGGGAAGATATTTCCTTTTTCACCATAGGCCTGAAAGCGCTCCAAATGTCCACATCCAGATACTACAAAAAGAGTGTTTCAAACCTGCTCTATGAAAGGGACTGTTCAACACTGTGACTTCAATTGAAACATCCCAATGAAGCTTCCGAGAATGCTTCTGTCTAGAGTTTATATGAAGACAATCCCGTTTCCAACGAAATCCTCAAAGCTATCCAAATATCCTCTTGCAGATTTTACAAAAAGAGTGTTTCAAAACTGCTCTATCAAAAGAAAGCTTCAACACTGTTAGTTGAGGGCGCACATCACAAATAATTTTCTGAGAATGCTTCTGTGTAGTTTTCAGGGGAAGATATATCCTTTTTCACCATAGGCCTGAAAGCGCTCCAAATGTCCACATCCAGATACTACAAAAAGAGTGTTTCAAACCTGCTCTATGAAAGGGAATGTTCAACTCTGTGACTTGAATGCAAACATCACAAAGAAGATTCTGGGAATGCTGCTGTCTGCTTTTTATATGTAATCCCGTTTCGAACGAAATCCTCAAAGCTAGACAAATATCCACTTGCAGATTCCACAAAAAGAGTGTTTCAAAACTGCTCTCTCAAAAGAAAGGTTCAACTCTGTTAGTTGAGTACTCACATCACAAATAAGTTTCTGAGAATGCTTCTATCTAGTTTTTATGGGAGGATATTTCCTTTTTCAACACAAGCCGGAATGCGCTCCAAATGGACAACTTCCAGATATGACAAAAGGCGTGTTTCAAACCTGCTCTATGAAAGGGAATGTTCAAATCTGGGACTTCAATGCAAACATCACAAAGAAGTTTCTGAGAATGCTGCTGTCTGCTTTTTATATTGATTCCCGTTTCCAAGGAAATCCTCCAAGCTGGCTTAATATCCACTTGCATATTCCACAAAAAGACTGTTTTAAAACTGCTCTCTCAAAAGAAAGGTTGATCTCTGTTAGCTGAGTAGATATATCATGAAAAAGTTTCTGACATTGCTTCTATGTAGCTTTTATTGGAAGATATTTCCTTTTTCACCGTAGTCCTGAGAGCACTCTAAATGTCCACTTCCAGATACTACAAAAAGAGTGTTTCAAACCTGCTCTATGAAAGGGAATGTTCAAATCTGTGACTTGAATGCAAACATCACAAAGAAGTTTCTGAGAATGCTGCTCTCTGCTTTTATATGTAATCCCGTTTCCAACGAAATCCTCAAATCTAGACAAATATCCACTTGCAGATTCCACAAAAAGAGTGTTTCAAAACTGCTCTCTCAAGAGAAAGGTTCAACTCTGTTAGCTGAGTAGATACATCATGACAAATTTTCTGACATTGCTTCTATCTAGCTTTTATTGGAAGATATTTCCTTTTTCACCGTAGTCCTGACAGCGCTCCAAATGTCCACTTCCAGATACTACAAAAAGAGTGTCTCAAACCTGCTCTATGAAAGGGACTGTTCAACACTGTGACTTCAATTGAAACATCCCAATGAAGTTACTGAGAATGCTTCTGTCTAGAGTTTATATGAAGACAATCTCGTTTCCAACGAAATCCTCAAAGCTATCCAAATATCCTCTTGCAGATTTTACACAAAGAGTGCTTCAAAACTGCCCTATCAAAAGAAAGGTTCAACACTGTTAGTTGAGGGCGCACATCACATATAAGTTTCTGAGAATGCTTCTGTCTAGTTTTCAGGGGAAGATATTTCCTTTTTCACCATAGGCCTGAAAGCATCCAAATGTCCACATCTAAACTCTTCAAAAAGAGTGTTTCAAACCTGCTCTATGAAAGGGAATGTTCAACTCTGTGACTTGAATGCAAACATCACAAAGAAGTTTCTGGGAATGCTGCTGTCTGCTTTTTATATGTAATCCCGTTTCCAACGAAATCCTCAAAGCTAGACAAATATCCACTTGCAGATTCCACAAAAAGAGTGTTTCAAAACTGCTCTCTCAAAAGAAAGGTTCAACTCTGTTAGCTGAGTAGATACATCATGACAAATTTTCTGACATTGCTTCTATCTAGCTTTTATTGGAAGATATTTCCTTTTTCACCGTAGTCCTGACAGCGCTCCAAATGTCCACTTCCAGATACCACAAAAAGAGTGTCTCAAACCTGCTCTATGAAAGGGACTGTTCAACACTGTGACTTCAATTGAAACATCCCAATGAAGTTACTGAGAATGCTTCTGTCTAGAGTTTATATGAAGACAATCCCGTTTCCAACGAAATCCTCAAAGCTATCCAAATATCCTCTTGCAGATTTTACACAAAGAGTGCTTCAAAACTGCCCTATCAAAAGAAAGGTTCAACACTGTTAGTTGAGGGCGCACATCACAAATAAGTTTCTGAGAATGCTTCTGTCTAGTTTTCAGGGGAAGATACTTCCTTTTTCACCTTAGGCCTGAAAGCGCTCCAAATGTCCACATCCAGATACTACAAAAAGAGTGTTTCAAACCTGCTCTATGAAAGGGACTGTTCAACACTGTGACTTCAATTGAAACATCCCAATGAAGCTTCCGAGAGTGCTTCTGTCTAGAGTTTATATGAAGACAATCCCGTTTCCAACGAAATCCTCAAAGCTATCCAAATATCCTCTTGCAGATTTTACAAAAAGGGTGTTTCAAAACTGCTCTATCAAAAGAAAGTTTCAACACTGTTAGTTGAGGGCGCACATCACAAATAAGTTTCTGAGAATGCTTCTGTGTAGTTTTCAGGGGAAGATATTTCCTTTTTCACCATAGGCCTGAAAGCGCTCCAAATGTCCACATCCAGATACTACAAAAAGAGTGTTTCAAACCTGCTCTATGAAAGGGAATGTTCAACTCTGTGACTTGAATGCAAACATCACAAAGAAGATTCTGGGAATGCTGCTGTCTGCTTTTTATATGTAATCCCGTTTCGAACGAAATCCTCAAAGCTAGACAAATATCCACTTGCAGATTCCACAAAAAGAGTGTTTCAAAACTGCTCTCTCAAAAGAAAGGTTCAACTCTGTTAGTTGAGTACACACATCACAAATAAGTTTCTGAGAATGCTTCTATCTAGTTTTTATGGGAGGAGATTTCCTTTTTCAACACAAGCCGGAATGCGCTCCAAATGGACAACTTCCAGATATGACAAAAGGCGTGTTTCAAATCTGCTCTATGAAAGGGAATGTTCAACTCTGGGACTTGAATGCAAACATCACAAAGAAGTTTCTGGGAATGCTGCTGTCTGCTTTTTATATGGAATCCCGTTTCCAACGAAATCCTCAAATCTAGACAAATATCCACTTGCAGATTCCACAAAAAGAGTGTTTCAGAACTGCTCTCTCAAAAGAAAGGTTCAACTCTGTTCGCTGAGTAGATACATCATGAAAAAGTTTCTGACATTGCTTCTATCTAGCTTTTATTGGAAGATATTTCTTTTTCACCGTAGTCCTGAGAGCGCTCCAAATGTCCACTTCCAGATACTACAAAAAGAGTGTTTCAAACCTGCTCTATGACAGGGACTGTTCAACACTGTGACTTAAATTTAAACATCCCAATATAGTTTCTGAGAATGCTTCTGTCTAGAGTTTAAATGAAGACAATCCCGTTTCCAACGAAATCCTCAAAGCTATCCAAATATCCTCTTGCAGATTTTACAAAAAGAGTGTTTCAAAACTGCTCTATGAAAAGAAAGGTTCAACACTGTTAGTTGAGGGCGCACATCACAAATAAGTTTCTGAGAATGATTCTGTCTAGTTTTCAGGGGAAGATATTTCCTTTTTCACCATAGGCCAGAAAGCCCTCCAAATGTTCACATCCAGATACTACAAAAAGAGTGTTTCAAACCTGCTCTATGAAAGGGGATGTTCAACTCTGTGACTTGAATGCAAACTTCACAAAGAAGTTTCTGGGAATGCTGCTGTCTGCTTTTTATATGTAATCCCGTTTCCAACGAAATCCTCAAAGCTAGACAAATATCCACTTGCAGATTCCACAAAAAGCGTGTTTCAAAACTGCTCTCTCAAAAGAAAGGTTCAACTCTGTTAGCTGAGTAGATACATCATGAAAAAGTTTCTGACATTGCTTCTATCTTGCTTTTATTGGAAGATATTTCCTTTTTCACCGTAGTCCTGAGAGCGCTCCAAATGTCCACTTCCAGATACTACAAAAAGAGTGTTTCAAACCTGCTCTATGACAGGGAATGTTCAACACTGTGACTTCAATTGAAACATCCCTAAGAAATTTCTGAGAATGCTTCTGTCTAGAGTTTATATGAAGACAATCCCGTTTCCAACGAAATCCTCAAAGCTATCCAAATATCCTCTTGCAGATTTTACAAAAAGAGTGTGTCAAAACTGCTCTATGAAAAGAAAGGTTCAACACTGTTAGTTGAGGGCGCACATCACAAATAAGTTTCTGAGAATGCTTCTGTCTAGTTTTCAGGGGAAGATATTTCCTTTTTCACCATAGGCCTGAAAGCGCTCCAAATGTCCACATCCAGATACTACATAAAGAGTGTTTCAAACGTGCTCTATGAAAGGCAATGTTCTACTCAGTGACTTGAATGCAAACATCACAAAGAAGTTTCTGGGAATGCTGCTGTCTGCTTTTTATATGTAATCCCGTTTCCAACGAAATCCTCAAAGCTAGACAAATATCCACTTGCAGATTCCACAAAAGGAGTGTTTCAAAACTGCTCTTTCAAAACGATGGTTCAATTCTGTTAGTTGAGTACACACATCACAAATAAGTTTCTGAGAATGTTCTATCTAGTTTTTATGGGAGGATATTTCCTTTTTCAACACAAGCCGGAATGCCCTCCAAATGGACAACTTCCAGATATGACAAAAGGCGTGTTTCAAACCTGCTTTATGAAAGGGAATGTTCACATCTGGGACTTCAATGCAAACATCACAAAGAAATTTCTGAGAATGCTGCTGTCTGCTTTTTATATGGATTCCCGTTTCCAACGAAATCCTCCAAGCTGGCTTAATATCCACTTGCATATTCCCCAAAAAGACTGTTTTAAAACTGCTCTCTCAAAAGAAAGATTCAACTCTGTTAGCTGAGTAGATACATCATGAAAAAGTTTCTGACATTGCTTCTATCTAGCTTTTATTGGAAGATATTTCCTTTTTCACCGTAGTCCTGAGAGCGCTCTAAATGTCCACTTCCAGATACTACAAAAGGGTGTTTCAAACCTGCTCTATGAAAGGGAATGTTCAACTCTGTGACTTCAATGGAAACATCACAAAGAAGTTTCTGGGAATGCTGCTGTCTGCTTTTTATATGTAATCCCGTTTCCAACGAAATCCTCAAATCTAGCTACATATGCACTTGCAGATTCCACAAAAAGAGTGTTTCAAAACTGCTCCTTCAAAACGATTGTTGAATTCTGTTAGTTGAGTACACACATCACAAATAAGTTTCTGAGAATGCTTCTGTCTGGTTTCTTTGGGAAGATATTTCCTTTTTCAACACAAGCCTGAATGCGCTCCAAATGGACACTTCCAGATATGACAAAAGGCGTGTTTCCAACCTGCTCTAGGATACGGAACTTTGAACTCTGTGACTTGAATGCAAACATCACAAAGAAGTTTCTCACAATGCTGCTGTCTGCTTTTTATAAGTATTCCCGTTTCCAACGAAATCCTCAAGGCCAGCCAAATATTCACTTGCAGATTCCACAAAAAGAGTGTTTGAAAACTGTTCTGTAAAAAGAAATGTTCAACTCTGTTAGTTGAGGACACACCTCAGAAACCGGTTTCAGAGAATGCTTCTGCCTTGTTTTTATGGGAAGATATTTCCTTTTTCAACATAGGCCTGAAAGCGCTCCAAATGTCCACGTCCAGATACTACAAAAAGAGTGTTTCAAACCTGCTCTATGAAAGGGACTGTTCAACACTGTGACTTCAATTGAAACATCCCAATGAAGTTTCTGAGAATGCTTCTGTCTAGAGTTTATATGAAGACAATCCCGTTTCCAACGAAATCCTCAAAGCTATCCAAATATATTTTTGCAGATTTTACAAAAAGAGTGTTTCAAAACTGCTCTATCAACAGAAAGTTTCAACACTGTTAGTTGAGGGCGCACATCACAAATAAGTTTCTGAGTATGCTTCTGTCTAGTTTTCAGGGGAAGATATTTCCTTTTTCACCATAGGCCTGAAAGCGCTCCAAATGTCCACATCCAGATACTACAAAAAGAGTGTTTCAAACCTGCTCTGTGAAAAGGAATGTTCAACTCTGTGACTTGAATGCAAACATCAAAAAACAGTTTCTGTGAATGCTGGGGTCTGCTTTTTATATGTAATCCCGTTTCCAACGAAATCCTCAAAGCTAGACAAATATCCACTTGCATATTCCACAAAAAGAGTGTTTCAAAACTGCTCTCTCAAAAGAAAGGTTCAACTCTGTTAGCTGAGTAGATACATCATGAAAAAGTTTCTGACATTGCTTCTATCTAGCTTTTATTGGAGAATATTTCCTTTTTCACCGTAGTCCTGAGAGCGCTCTAAATGTCCACTTCCAGATACTACGAAAAGTGTGTTTCAAACCTGCTCTATGAAAGGGACTGTTCAACACTGTGACTTCAATTGAAACATCCCAATGAAGTTTCTGAGAATGCTTCTGTCTAGAGTTTATATGAAGACAATCCCGTTTCCAACGAAATCCTCAAAGCTATCCAAATATCCTCTTGCAGATTTTAGAAAAAGAGTGTTTAAAAACTGCTCTATGAAAAGAAAGGTTCAACACTGTTAGTTGAGGGCGCACATCACAAATAAGTTTCTGAGAATGCTTCTGTCTAGTTTTCAGGGGAAGATATTTCCTTTTGCACCATAGGCCTGAAAGCCCTCCAAATGTCCACATCCAGATAGTACAAAAAGAGTGTTTCAAACCTGCTCTATGAAACGGAATGTTCAACTCTGTGACTTGAATGCAAACATCACAAAGAAGTTTCTGGGAATGCTGCTGTCTGCTTTTTATATGTAATCCCGTTTCCAACGAAATCCTCAAAGCTAGACAAATATCCACTTGCAGATTCCACAAAAAGAGTGTTTCAAAACTGCTCTCTCAAAAGAAAGGTTCAACTCTGTTAGCTGAGTAGATACATCATGAAAAAGTTTCTGACATTGCTTCTATCTAGCTTTTATTGGAAGATATTTCCTTTTTCACTGTAGTCCTGAGAGCGCTCCAAATGTCCACTTCCAGATACTACAAAAAGAGTGTTTCAAACCTGCTCTATGACAGGGAATGTTCAACACTGTGACTTCAATTGAAACATCCGAAAGAAATTTCTGAGAATGCTTCTGTCTAGAGTTTATATGAAGACAATCCCGTTTCCAACGAAATCCTCAAAGCTATCCAAATATCCTCTTGCAGATTTTACAAAAAGAGTGTTTCAAAACTGCTCTACCAAAAGAAAGGTTCAACACTGTTAGTTGACTACACACATCACAAATAAGTTTCTGAGAATGCTTCTGTCTAGTTTTCAGGGGAAGATATTTCCTTTTTCACCATAGGCCTGAAAGCGCTCCAAATGTCCACATCCAGATATTACAAAAAGAGTGTTTCAAACCTGCTCTGTGAAAGGGAATGTTCAACTCTGTGACTTGAATGCAAACATCACAAAGAAGTTTCTGGGAATGCTGCTGTCTGCTTTTTATATGTAATCCCGTTTCCAACGAAATCCTCAAAGCTAGACAAATATCCACTTGCATATTCCACAAAAAGAGTGTTTCAAAGCTGCTCTCTCAAAAGAAAGGTTCATCTCTGTTAGCTGAGCAGATACATCATGAAAAAGTTTCTGACATTGCTTCTATCTAGCTTTTATTGGAAGATATTTCCTTTTTCACTGTAGTCCTGAGAGCGCTCCAAATGTCTACTTCCAGATACTACAAGAAGAGTGTTTCAAACCTGCTCTATCAAAGGGAATGTTCAACACTGTGACGTCAATTGAAACATCCCAAAGAAATTTCTAAGAATGCTTCTGTCTAGAGTTTATATGAAGACAATCCCGTTTCCAACGAAATCCTCAAAGCTATCCAAATATCCTCTTGCAGATTTAACAAAATTGTGTTTCAAAACTGCTCTATGAAAAGAAAGGTTCAACACTGTTAGTTGAGGGCACACATCACAATTAAGTTTCTGAGAGTGCTTCTGTCTAGCTTTCAGGGGAAGATATTTCCTTTTTCACCATAGGCCTGAAAGCACTCCAAATGTCCACATCCAGATTCTACAAAAAGAGTTTTTCAATCCTGCTCTATGAAAGGGAATGTTCAACTCTGTGACTTGAATGCAAACATCACAAAGGAGTTTCTGAGAATGCTGCTGTCTGCTTTTTATATGTAATCCCGTTTCCAACGAAATCGTCAAATCTAGCTAAATATGCACTTGCAGATTCCACAAAAAGAGTGTTTCAAAACTGCTCCTTCAAAACGATTGTTGAATTCTGTTATTTGAGTACACACATCACAAATAAGTTTCTGAGAATGCTTCTGTCTGGTTTCTATTGGAAGGTATTTCCTTTTTCAACACAAGGTTGAATGCGCTTCAAATTGACACTTCCAGATATGACAAAAGGCATGTTTCCAACCTGCTCTATGATACGGAACGTTCAACTCTGTGACTTGAATGCAAACATCACAAAGAAGTTTCTCACAACGCTGCTGTCTGCTTTTTATATGTATTCCCGTTTCCAACGAAATCCTCAAAGCCAGCAAAGTATCCACTTGCAGATTCCACAAAAAGAGTGTTTCAAAACTGTTCTGTCAAAAGAAATGTTCAACTCTGTTAGTTGAGGACACATCTCAGAAACTAGGTTCAGAGAATGCTTCTGTCTAGTTTTTATGGGAAGATATTTCCTTTTTCAATATAGCCCTGAAAGCGCTACAAATGTCCACGTCCAGATACTACAAAAAGAGTGTTTCAAACCTGCTCCATGAAAGGGACTGTTCAACACTGCGACTTCAATAGAAACATCCCAATGAAGTTTCTGAGAATGCTTCTGTCTAGAGTTTATATGAAGAGAATCCCGTTTCCAACGAAATCCTCAAAGCTATCCAAATATCTTCTTGCAGATTTTACAAAAAGAGTGTTTCAAAACTGCTCTATCAAAAGAAAGGTTCAACACTGTTAGTTGAGGGCGCACATCACAAATAAGTTTCTGAGAATGCTTCTGTGTAGTTTTTGAGGCAAGATATTTCCTATTTCACCTTACGCCTCAAAGCGATCAAAACGTCCACTTCCAGATACTACAAAAAGAGTGCTTCAAACCTGCTCTATTAAAGGGAGTGATCAACTCTGTGACTCGAACGCTAACATCCCAAGGAGGTTTCTGAGAATGCTTGTGTCTCGATTTCATATGAAAATTTTCCCGTTTCCAACGAAATCCTCAAAGCTGTCCAAATATCCACATGCAAATTCCACAAAAAGAGTGTATATAACTGCTCTATCAAAAGAAGGGTTCAACTCTGGTAGTTGAGCACACACATCACAAACTAGTTCATGAGAATACTTCTGTCTAGTTTTTATGCGAAGATACACCTTTTTCACCACAGGCCTCAAAGCGATCCACATGTCCACTTCCAGATTCCACAGAAAGAGTGTTTCAAACCTGCTCTATGAAAAGGAACGTTCAAATATGTGACTTGAATGCTGACACCCCAAAGACGGTTCTGAAAATGCTTCTGTCTAGATTTTATGTGAAGATATTCCAGTTTCGAACGAAATCCTCAAAGCTGTCAAAATATCCCCTTGCAGAATATACAAAAAGAGTGTTTCAAGAGTGCTCTCTCAAAAGATAGGTTCAACCCTGTTAGTTGAGTACACACATCACAAACCGGTTTCTGAGAATGCTTCTGCGTAGTTTATATGGGAAGATATTTCCTTTTTCACAATAGGTCACAAAGCACCCCAAATGTCCAGTTCCATATACTACAAAATCTTGTGTTCACACCTGCTTTATGAAAGAGAATGTTCAACACTGGCACTTGAATGCCATCCTCACAGAGATTTTTCTGAGAATGCTTCTGTCTAGGTTTTGTATGGACATATTCCCGTTTCCAACGAAATCCTCTAAGCTATCCAAATATCCACTTGCAGACTGTAAAAAAAGAGTGTTTCAAAACTGCTCTATCAAAAGAAAGATTCAACTCTGTTAGTTGAGTACACACATTCCAAACAAGTTTTGGAGACTGCTTCCGACTAGTTGTTATCCGAAGATATTTCCCATTTCACCATAGCCCTCAAAGCGATCTAAATGTCCATCTCCAGATACTACAAAAAGCGTGTTTCAAAGCTGCTCTATGAAAGGGAATGTACAATTCTCTGACTTCAATGCAAACATCAAAAAGGTGTTTCCGCGAAGGCTTCTGTCTAGATTTTATATGAAGATATTCCCTTTTCCAAGGAAATCCTAAAAGCTATCCAAATATCCACCTGCAGATTCTCCAAAAAGAGTGTTTAAAAACTGCTCTGTCAAAAGAAAGGTTCAACTCTGTTAGTTGAGCACACACATCAGAAACTAGTTCGTGAGAATACTTCTGTCCAGTTTTTATGTGAAGATATACCATTTTCACCGCAGGCCTCAAAGCGATCCAAATGTCCACTTCCAGATTCCACAAAAAGAGGGCTTCAAACCTGCTCTATGAAAAGGAACGTTCAACTCTGTGACTTGAATGCTAACACCCCAAAGACGTTTCTGAGAATGCTTCTGTCTATATTTTATGTGAAGATATTCCCGTTTCCAACGATATCCTCAAAGCTTTCCAAATATCCACATGCAGATTCTATAAAAAGAGTGTTTCAAAACCGCTCTATGAAAAGAAAGGTTCAGCTCTGTTAGTTAAGTACACACATCACAAACTAGTTTATGAGAATGCTTCCGTCTAGTTTTTATTCGAAGATATTCCCTTTTTCACCGTAGGCCTCAATGCGACCCAAAGGTCCCCTTCCAGATTCCACAAAAAGAGTGTTTCAAACCTGCTCCATGAAAGGGAATGTTCAACTCTGTGACTTGAATGCAAACATCCCAAAGATGTTTCTGAGGATGCTTCTGTCGAGATTTTATATGAAGATATCCCGTTTCCAACGAAATCCTCAAAGCTGTCAAAATATCCCCTTGCAGAGTCTACAGAAAGAGTGTTTCAAGAGTGCTCTCTCAAAAGAAAGGTTCAACCCTGTTAGTTGAGTACACAGATCACAACCTGGTTTCTGAGAATTTTTCTGCCTAGTTTATATGGGAAGATATTTCCTTTTTCACAAAAGGTCACAAAGCACTCCAAATGTCCACTTCCATATACTACAAAATCTTGTGTTCACACCTGCTTTATGAAAGGGAATGTTCAACACCGGGACTTGAAAGCAATCCCCACAGAGATTTTTCTGAGAATGCTTCTGTCTAGGTTTTGTATGGACATATTCCCGTTTCCAACGAAATCCTCTAAGCTATCCAAATATCCACTTGCAGACTCTACAAAAAGAGTGTTTCAAAACTGCTCTATCAAAAGAAAGATTCAACTCTGTTAGTTGAGTACACACATTCCAAGCAAGTTTTGGAGACTGCTTCCATCTAGTTTTTATGCGAAGATATTTCCTATTTCAGCATAGGCCTCAACGTGATCTAAATGTGCATCTCCAGATACTACAAAAAGAGTGTTTCAATGCTGCTCTATGAAAGGGGATGTACAACTCTCTGACTTCAATGCAAACATCCCAAAGGTGTTTCTGCGAAGGCTTCTGTCTAGATTTTATATGAAGATATTCCCTTTTCCAAGGAAATCCTCAAAGCTATCCAAATATCCACCTGCAGATTCTCCAAAAAGACTGTTTCAAAACTGCTCTATCAAAAGAAAGGTTCAACTCTGTTAGTTGAGTAAACACATCACAACGTAGATTCTGAGAATGCTTCTGTGTAGTTTTTGTGGCAAGATATTTCCTTTTTCACCTTACGCCTCAAAGCGATCAAAACGTCCACTTCCAGATACTACAAAAAGAGTGCTTCAAACCTGCTCTGTGAAAGGGAGTGATCAACTGTGTGACTCGAACGCTAACATCCCAAAGAGGTTTCTGAGAATGCTTGTGTCTCGATTTCATATGAAGATTTTCCCGTTTCCAACGAAATCCTCAAAGCTGTCCAGATAGCCACATGCAAATTCTACAAAAAGAGTGTTTCAAAACTGCTCTATCAAAAGAAAGGTTCAACTCTGGTAGTTGAGCACACACATCACAAACTAGTTCATGAGAATACTTCTGTCTAGTTTTTATGCGAAGATATACCTTTTTCACCGCAGGCCTCAAAGCGATCCAAATGTCCACTTCCAGATTCCACAAAAAGAATGTTTCAAACCTGCTCTATGAAAAGGAGCGTTCAACTCTGTGACTTGAATGCTAACACCCCAAAGACGTTTCTGAGAATGCTTCTGTCTATATTTTATGTGAAGATATTCCCGTTTCCAAAGAAATCCTCAAAGCTTTCCAAATATCCACAGGCAGATTCTAAAAAAAGAGTGTTTCAAAACCGCTCTATGAAAAGAAAGGTTCAGCTCTGTTAGTTAACCGCACACATCACAAAGTAGTTTATGAGAATGCTTCTGTCTAGTTTTTATTCGAAGATATTCCCTTTTTCACCGTAGGCCTCAATGCGATCCAAATGTCTACTTCCAGATTCCACAAAAAGAGTGTTTCAAACCTGCTCCATGAAAGGGAAAGTTCAACTCTGTGACTTGCATGCAAACATCCCAAAGAAAGATGTTTCTGAGAATGCTTCTGTCGAGATTTTATATGAAGATATCCCGTTTCCAACGAAATCCTCAAAGCTGTCCAAATATCCCCTTGCAGAGTCTACAAAAAGAGTTTTTCAAGCGTGCTCTCTCAAAAGAAAGGTTCAACCCTGTTAGTTGAGTACACACATCACAACCTGGTTTCTGAGAATGCTTCTGCCTAGTTTATATGGGAAGATATTTCCTTTTTCACAATAGGTCACAAAGCACTCCAAATGTCCAGTTCCATATACTACAACATCTTGTGTTCACACCTGCTTTATGAAAGGGAATGTTCAACACTGGGACTTGAATGCAATCCTCACAGAGATTTTTCTGAGAATGCTTCTGTCTAGGTTTTGTATGGACATATTCCCGTTTCCAACGAAATCCTCTAAGCTATCCAAATATCCACTTGCAGACTCTACAAAAAGAGTGTTTCAAAACTGCTCTATCAAAAGAAAGGTTCAACACTGTTAGTTGAGGGCGCACATCACAAATAAGTTTCTGAGAATGCTTCTGTCTAGTTTTCAGGGGAAGATATTTCCTTTTTCACCATAGGCCTGAAAGCGCTCCAAATGTCCACATCCAGATACTACAAAAAGAGTGTTTCAAAGCTGCTCTATGAAAGGGAATGTTCAACTCTGTGACTTGAATGCAAACATCACAAAGAAGTTTCTGGGAATGCTGCTGTCTGCTTTTTATATGTAATCCCGTTTCCAACGAAATCATCAAAGCTAGACAAATATCCACTTGCAGATTCCACAAAAAGAGTGTTTAAAAACTGCTCTCTCAAAAGAAAGGTTCAACTCTGTTAGCTGAGCAGATACATCATGAAAAAGTTTCTGACATTGCTTCTATCTAGCTTTTATTGGAAGATATTTCCTTTTTCACTGTAGTCCTGAGAGCGCTCCAAATGTCCACTTCCAGATACTACAAGAAGAGTGTTTCAAACCTGCTCTATGACAGGGAATGTTCAACACTGTGACTTCAATTAAAACATCCCAAAGAAATTTATGAGAATGCTTCTGTCTAGAGTTTATATGAAGACAATCCCGTTTCCAACGAAATCCTCAAAGCTATCCAAATATCCTCTTGCAGATTTTACAAAAAGAGTGTTTCAAAACTGCTCTATCAAAAGAAAGGTTCAACACTGTTACTTGAGGGCGCACATCACAAATAAGTTTCTGAGAATGCTTCTGTCTAGTTTTCAGGGGAAGATATTTCCTTTTTCACCATAGGCCTGAAAGCGCTCCAAATGTCCACATCCAGATACTACAAAAAGAGTGTTTCAAACCTTCTCTATGAAAGGGAATGTTCAACTCTGTGACTTGAATGCAACCGTCACAAAGAAGTTTCTGGGAATGCTGCGGCCTGCTTTTTATATGTAATCCCGTTTCCAACGAAATCCTCAAAGCTAGACAAATATCCACTTGCAGATTCCACAAAAAGAGTGTTTCCAAACTGCTCTTCCACAACGATGGTTCAATTCTGTTAGTTGAGTACACACATCACAAATAAGTTTCTGAGAATGCTTCTATCTAGTTTTTATGGGAGGATATTTCCTTTTTCAAGACAAGCCGGAATGCGCTCCAAATGGACAACGTCCAGATATGACAAAAGGCGTGTTTCAGACCTGCTCTATTAAAGGGAATGTTGAACTCTGGGACTTCAATGCAAACATGAGAAAGAAGTTTCTGACAATGCTGCTGTCTGCTTTTTATATGGATTCCCGTTTCCAACGAAATCCTCCAAGCTGGCCTAATATCCACTTGCATATTCCCCAAAAAGAGTGTTTTAAAACTGGTCTCTCAAAAGAAAGGTTCAACTCTGTTAGCTGAGTAGATACATCATGAAAAATTTCTGACATTGCTTCTATCTAGCTTTTATTGGAAGATATTTCCTTTTTCACAGTAGTCCTGAGAGCGCTCCAAATGTCCACTTCCAGATACTACAAAAAGAGTGTTTCAAACCTGCTCTATGAAAGGGACTGTTCAACACTGTGACTTCAGTTGAAACATCACAATGAAGTTTCTGAGAAAGCTTCTGTCTAGAGTTTATATGAAGACAATCCCGTTTCCAACGAAATCCTCAAAGCTATCCAAATATCTTCTTGCAGATTTTACAAAAAGTGTGTTTCAAAACTGCTCTATCAAAAGAAAGGTTCAACACTGTTAGTTGGGGGCGCACATCACAAATAAGATTCTGAGAATGCTTCTGTCTAGTTTTCAGGGGAAGATATTTCCTTTTTCACCATAGGCCTGAAAGCGCTCCAAATGTCCACATCCAGATACTACAAAAAGAGTGTTTCAAACCTGCTCTATGAAAGGGAATGTTAAACTCTGTGACTTGAATGCAAACATCACAAAGAAGTTTCTGGGAATGCTGCTGTCTGCTTTTATATGTAATCCCGTTTCCAACGAAATCCTCAATGCTAGACAAATATCGACTTGCAGATTCCAGAAAAAGAGTGTTTCAAAATTGCTCTTTCAAAACGATGGTTCAATTCTGTTAGTTGAGTACACACATCACAAATAAGTTTCAGAGAATGCTTCTGTCTAGTTTTTATGAGAGGATATTTCCTTTTTCAACACAAGCCGGAATGTGCTCCAAATGGACAGCTTCCAGACATGACAAAAGGCGTGTTTCAAACCTGCTCTATCAAATGGAATGTTCAACACTGGGACTTCAATGGAAACATCACAAAGAAGTTGCTGAGAATGCTGCCGTCTGCTTTTTAAATGTATTCCCGTTTCCAACGAAATCCTCAGAGCCAGCCAAATATCCACTTGCAGATTCTACAAAAAGAGTGTTTCAAAACCGCTCAATGAAAAGAAAGGTTCAGCTCTGTTAGTTAAGCACACACATCACAAACTAGTTTATGAGAATGCTTCTGTCTAGTTTTTATTCGAAGATATTCCCTTTTTCACCGTAGGCCTCAATGCGACCCAAAGGTCCCCTTCCAGATTCCACAAAAAGAGTGTTTCAAACCTGCTCCATGAAAGGGAATGTTCAACTCTGTGACTTGAATGCAAACATCCCAAAGATGTTTCTGAGGATGCTTCTGTCGAGATTTTATATGAAGATATCCCGTTTCCAAGGAAATCCTCAAAGCTGTCCAAATATCCCATTGCAGAGTCTACAAAAAGAGTTTTTCAAGCGTGCTCTCTCAAAAGAAAGGTTCAACCCTGTTAGTTGAGTACACACATCACAACCTGGTTTCTGAGAATGCTTCTGCCTAGTTTATATGGGAAGATATTTCCTTTTTCACAATAGGTCACAAAGCACTCCAAATGTCCACTTCCATATACTACAACATCTTGTGTTCACACCTGCTTCATGAAAGGGAATGTTCAACACTGGGACTTGAATGCAATCCTCACAGAGATTTTTCTGAGAATGCTTCTGTCTAGGTTTTGTATGGACATATTCCCGTTTCCAACGAAATCCTCTAAGCTATCCAAATATCCACTTGCAGACTCTACAAAAAGAGTGTTTCAAAACTGCTCTATCAAAAGAAAGATTCAACTCTGTTAGTTGAGTACACACATTCCAAGCAAGTTTTGGAGACTGCTTCCGTCTAGTTTTTATGCGAAGATATTTCCTATTTCACCATAGGCCTCAACGTGATCTAACTGTGCATCTCCAGATACTACAAAAAGAGTGTTTCAAAGCTGCTCTATGACAGGGAATGTACAACTCTCTGACTTCAATGCAAACATCACAAAGGTGTTTCTGCGAAGGCTTCGGTCTAGATTTTATATGAAGATATTCCCTTTTCCAAGGAAATCCTCAAATCTATCCAAATATCCACCTGCAGATTCTCCAAAAAGAGTGTTTCAAAACTGCTCTATCAAAAGAAAGGTTCAACTCTGTTAGTTGAGTAAACACATCACAACGTAGTTTCTGAGAATGCTTCTGTGTAGTTTTTGTGGCAAGATATTTCCTTTTTCACCTTATGTCTCAAAGCGATCAAAACGTCCACTTCAAGATACTACAAAAAGAGTGCTTCAAACCTGCTCTATGAAAGGGAGTGATCAACTGTGTGACTCGAACGCTAACATCCCTAAGAAGTTTCTGAGAATGCTTGTGTCTCGATTTCATATGAAGATTTTCCCGTTTCCAGCGAAATCCTCAAAGCTGTCCAAATATCCACATGCAAATTCTACAAAAAGAGTGTTTCAAAACTGCTCTATCCAAAGAAAGGTTCAACTCTGGTAGTTGAGCACACACATCACAAACTAGTTCATGAGAATACTTCTGTCTAGTTTTTATGCGAAGATATACCTTTTTCACCGCAGGCCTCAAAGCGATCCAAATGTCCACTTCCAGATTCCACAAAAAGAGTGTTTCAAACCTGCTCTATGAAAAGGAACGTTCAACTCTGTGACTTGAATGCTAACACCCCAAAGACGTTTCTGAGAATGCTTCTGTCTAGATTTTATGTGAAGATATTACGGTTTCCAACGAAATCCTCAAAGCTTTCCAAATATCCACATGCAGATTCTACAAAAAGAGTGTTTCAAAACCGCTCTATGAAAAGAAAGGTTCAGCTCTGTTAGTTAAGCACACAGATCACAAACTAGTTTATGAGAATGCTTCTGTCTAGTTTTTATTCGAAGATATTCCCTTTTTCACCGTAGGCCTCAATGCGATCCAAATGTCTACTTCCAGATTCCACAAAAAGAGTGTTTCAAACCTGCTCCATGAAAGGGAATGTTCAACTCTGTGACTTGAATGCAAACATCCCAAAGATGTTTCTGAGGATGCTTCTGTCGAGATTTTATATGAAGATATCCCTTTTCCAACGAAATCCTCAAAGCTGACAAAATATCCCCTTGCAGATTCTACAAAAAGAGTGTTTCAAGAGTGCTCTCTCAAAAGAAAGGTTCAACCCTGTTAGTTGAGTACACACATCACAAACTGGTTTCTGAGAATTCTTCTGCCTAGTTTATATGGGAAGATATTTCCTTTTTCACAAAAGGTCACAAAGCACTCCAAATGTCCACTTCCATATACTACAAAATCTTGTGTTCACACCTGCTTTATGAAAGGGAATGTTCAACACCGGGACTTGAATGCAATCCTCACAGAGATTTTTCTGAGAATGCTTCTGTCTAGGTTTTGTATGGACATATTCCCGTTTCCAGCAAAATCCTCTAAGCTATCCAAATATCCACTTGCAGACTCTACAAAAAGAGTGTTTCAAAACTGCTCTATCAAAAGAAAGATTCAACTCTGTTAGTTGAGTACACACATTCCAAGCAAGTTTTGGAGACTGCTTCAATCTAGTTTTTATGCGAAGATTTTCCTATTTCACCATAGGCCTCAAAGCGATCTAAATGTCCATCTCCAGATACTACAAAAAGAGTGTTTCAAAGCTGCTCTATGTAAGGGAATGTAGAACTCTCTGACTTCAATGCAAACATCGCAAAGGTGTTTCTGCGAATGCTTCTGTCTAGATTTTATATGAAGATATTCCCTTTTCCACGGAAAACCACAAAGCTATCCCAATATCCACCGGCATATTCTCCAAAAAGAGTGTTTCAAAACTGCTCTATCAAAAGAAAGGTTCAACTCTGTTAATTGAGTAAACACATCACAACGTAGTTTCTGAGAATGCTTCTGTGTAGTTTTTGTGTCAAGATATTTCCTTTTTCACCTTACGCCTCAAAGCGATCAAAACGTCCACTTCCAGATACTACAAAAAGAGTGCTTCAAACCTGCTCTATGAAAGGAGGGATCAACTGTGTGACTTGAACGCTGACATCCCAAAGAGGTTTCTGAGAATGCTTGTGTCTCGATTTCATATGAAGATTTTCCCGTTTCCAACGAAATCCTCAAAGGTGTCCAAATAGCCACATGCAAATTCTACAAAAAGAGTGTTTCAAAACTGCTCTATCAAAAGAAAGGTTCAACTCTGGTAGTTGAGCACACTCATCACAAGCTAGTTCGTGAGAATAATTCTGTCTAGCTTTTATGCGAAGGTATACCTTTTTCTCCGCAGGCCTCAAAGCGATCCAAATGTCCACTTCCAGATTCCACAAAAAGAGTGTTTCAAACCTGCTCTATGAAAAGGAACGTTCAACTCTGTGACTTGAATGCTAACACCCCAAAGACGTTTCTGAGAATGCTTCTGTCTAGATTTTATGTGAAGATATTCCCGTTTCCAAAGAAATCCTCAAAGCTTTCCAAATATCCACAGGCAGATTGTACAAAAAGAGTGTTTCCAAACCGCTCTATGAAAAGAAAGGTTCAGCTCTGTTAGTTAACCACACACATCACAAAGTAGTTTATGAGAATGTTTCTGTCTAGTTTTTATTCGAAGATATTCCCTTTTTCACCGTAGGCCTCAATGCGATCCAAATATCCACTTCCAGATTCCACAAAAAGAGTGTTTCAAACCTGCTCCATGAAAGGGAAAGTTCAACTCTGTGACTTGCATGCAAACATCCCAAGGATGTTTCTGAGGATGCTTCTGTCGAGATTTTATATGAAGATATCCCGTTTCCAACGAAATCCTCAAAGCTGTCCAAATATCCCCTTGCAGAGTCTACAAAAAGAGTTTTTCAAGCATGCTCTCTCAAAAGAAAGGTTCAACCCTGTTAGTTGAGTACGCACATCACAAACTGGTTTCTGAGAATGCTTCTTCCTAGTTTATATGGGAAGATATTTCCTTTTTCACAATAGGTCACAAAGCACTCCAAATGTCCAGTTCCATATACTACAAAATCTTGTGTTCACACCTGCTTTATGAAAGGGAATGTTCAACACTGGGACTTGAATGCAATCCTCACAGAGATTTTTCTGAGAATGCTTCTGTCTAGGTTTTGTATGGACATATTCCCGTTTCCAACGAAATCCTCTAGGCTATCCAAATATCCACTTGCAGATTCTACAAAAAGAGTGTTTCAAAACTGCTCTATCAAAAGAAATGTTCAACACTGTTACTTGAGGGCGCACATCAAAATAAGTTTCTGAGAATGCTTCTGTCTAGTTTTCAGGGGAAGATATTTCCTTTTTCACCATAGGCCTGAAAGCGCTCCAAATGTCCACATCCAGATACTACAAAAAGAGTGTTTCAAACCTGCTCTATGAAAGGGAATGTTCAACTCTGTGACTTGAATGCAAACATCACAAAGAAGTTTCTGGGAATGCTGCTGTCGGCTTTTTATATGTAATCCCGTTTCCAACGAAATCCTCAAAGCTAGACAAATATCCACTTGCATATTCCACAAAAAGAGTGCTTCAAAGCTGCTCTCTCAAAAGAAAGGTTCAACTCTGTTAGCTGAGCAGATACATCATAAAAAAGTTTCTGACATTGCTTCTATCTAGCTTTCATTGGAAGATATTTCCTTTTTCACGGTAGTCCTGAGAGCGCTCCAAATGTCCACTTCCAGATACTACAAGAAGAGTGTTTCAAACCTGCTCTAACAAAGGGAATGTTCAACACTGTGACTTCAATTGAAACATCCCAAAGAAATTTCTGAGAATGCTTCTGTCTAGAGTTTATATGAAGACAATCCCGTTTCCAACGAAATCCTCAAAGCTATCCAAATATCCTCTTGCAGATTTAACAAAATAGTGTTTCAAAACTGCTCTATCAAAAGAAAGGTTCAACACTGTTAGTTGGGGGCGCACATCACAAATAAGATTCTGAGAATGCTTCTGTCTAGTTTTCAGGGGAAGATATTTCCTTTTTCACCATAGGCCTGAAAGCGCTCCAAATGTCCACATCCAGATACTACAAAAAGAGTGTTTCAAACCTGCTCTATGAAAGGGAATGTTAAACTCTGTGACTTGAATGCAAACATCGCAAAGATGTTTCTGGGAATGCTGCTGTCTGCTTTTTATTTGTAATCCCGTTTCCAACGAAATCCTCAATGCTAGACAAATATCGACTTGCAGATTCCAGAAAAAGAGTGTTTCAAAATTGCTCTTTCAAAACGATGGTTCAATTCTGTTAGTTGAGTACACACATCACAAATAAGTTTCAGAGAATGCTTCTGTCTAGTTTTTATGAGAGGATATTTCCTTTTTCAACACAAGCCGGAATGTGCTCCAAATGGACAGCTTCCAGACATGACAAAAGGCGTGTTTCAAACCTGCTCTCTCAAATGGAATGTTCAACACTGGGACTTCAATGGAAACATCACAAAGAAGTTTCTGAGACTGCTGCCGTCTGCTTTTTAAATGTATTCCCGTTTCCAACGAAATCCTCAGAGCCAGCCAAATATCCACTTGCAGATTCTACAAAAAGAGTGTTTCAAAACCGCTCAATGAAAAGAAAGGTTCAGCTCTGTTAGTTAAGCACACACATCACAAACTAGTTTATGAGAATGCTTCTGTCTAGTTTTTATTCGAAGATATTCCCTTTTTCACCGTAGGCCTCAATGCGACCCAAAGGTCCCCTTCCAGATTCCACAAAAGAGTGTTTCAAACCTGCTCCATGAAAGGGAATGTTCAACTCTGTGACTTGAATGCAAACATCCCAAAGATGTTTCTGAGGATGCTTCTGTCGAGATTTTATATGAAGATATCCCGTTTCCAACGAAATCCTCAAAGCTGTCAAAATATCCCCTTGCAGAGTCTACAAAAAGAGTGTTTCAAGAGTGTTCTCTCAAAAGAAAGGTTCAACCCTGTTAGTTGTGTACACAGATCACAAACTGCTTTCTGAGAATGCTTCTGCCTAGTTTATATGGGAAGATACTTCCTTTTTCACAATAGGTCACAAAGCACTCCAAATGTCCACTTCCATATACTACAAAATCTTGTGTTCACACCTGCTTCATGAAAGGGAATGTTCAACACTCGGACTTGAATGCAATCCTCACAGAGATTTTTCTGAGAATGCTTCTGTCTAGGTTTTTTATGGACATATTCCCGTTTCCAACGAAATCCTCTAAGCTATCCAAATATCCACTTGCAGACTCTACAAAAAGAGTGTTTCAAAACTGCTCTATCAAAAGAAAGATTCAACTCTGTTAGTTGAGTACACACATTCCAAGCAAGTTTTGGAGACTGCTTCCGTCTAGTTTTTATGCGAAGATATTTCCTATTTCACCATAGGCCTCAACGTGATCTAACTGTGCATCTCCAGATACTACAAAAAGAGTGTTTCAAAGCTGCTCTATGACAGGGAATGTACAACTCTCTGACTTCAATGCAAACATCACAAAGGTGTTTCTGCGAAGGCTTCGGTCTAGATTTTATATGAAGATATTCCCTTTTCCAAGGAAATCCTCAAAGTTATCCAAATATCCACCTGCAGATTCTCCAAAAAGAGTGTTTCAAAACTGCTCTATCAAAAGAAAGGTTCAACTCTGTTAGTTGAGTAAACACATCACAACGTAGTTTCTGAGAATGCTTCTGTGTAGTTTTTGTGGCAAGATATTTCCTTTTTCACCTTACGCCTCAAAGCGATCAAAACGTCCACTTCCAGATACTACAAAAAGAGTGCTTCAAACCTGCTCTATGAAAGGGAGTGATCAACTGTGTGACTCGAACGCTAACATCCCAAAGAGGTTTCTGAGAATGCTTGTGTCTCGATTTCATATGAAGATTTTCCCGTTTCCAACGAAATCCTCAAAGCTGTCCAGATAGCCACATGCAAATTCTACAAAAAGAGTGTTTCAAAACTGCTCTATCAAAAGAAAGGTTCAACTCTGGTAGTTGAGCACACACATCACAAACTAGTTCCTGAGAATACTTCTGTCTAGTTTTTATGCGAAGATATACCTTTTTCACCGCAGGCCTCAAAGCGATCCAAATGTCCACTTCCAGATTCCACAAAAAGAATGTTTCAAACCTGCTCTATGAAAAGGAGCGTTCAACTCTGTGACTTGAATGCTAACACCCCAAAGACGTTTCTGAGAATGCTTCTGTCTATATTTTATGTGAAGATATTCCCGTTTCCAAAGAAATCCTCAAAGCTTTCCAAATATCCACAGGCAGATTCTAAAAAAAGGGTGTTTCAAAACCGCTCTATGAAAAGAAAGGTTCAGCTCTGTTAGTTAACCGCACACATCACAAAGTAGTTTATGAGAATGCTTCTGTCTAGTTTTTATTCGAAGATATTCCCTTTTTCACCGTAGGCCTCAATGCGATCCAAATGTCTACTTCCAGATTCCACAAAAAGAGTGTTTCAAACCTGCTCCATGAAAGGGAAAGTTCAACTCTGTGACTTGCATGCAAACATCCCAAAGAAAGATGTTTCTGAGAATGCTTCTGTCGAGATTTTATATGAAGATATCCCGTTTCCAACGAAATCCTCAAAGCTGTCCAAATATCCCCTTGCAGAGTCTACAAAAAGAGTTTTTCAAGCGTGCTCTCTCAAAAGAAAGGTTCAACCCTGTTAGTTGAGTACACACATCACAACCTGGTTTCTGAGAATGCTTCTGCCTAGTTTATATGGGAAGATATTTCCTTTTTCACAATAGGTCACAAAGCACTCCAAATGTCCAGTTCCATATATTACAACATCTTGTGTTCACACCTGCTTTATGAAAGGGAATGTTCAACACTGGGACTTGAATGCAATCCTCACAGAGATTTTTCTGAGAATGCTTCTGTCTAGGTTTTGTATGGACATATTCCCGTTTCCAACGAAATCCTCTAAGCTATCCAAATATCCACTTGCAGACTCTACAAAAAGAGTGTTTCAAAACTGCTCTATCAAAAGAAAGGTTCAACACTGTTAGTTGAGGGCGCACATCACAAATAAGTTTCTGAGAATGCTTCTGTCTAGTTTTCAGGGGAAGATATTTCCTTTTTCACCATAGACCTGAAAGCGCTCCAAATGTCCACATCCAGATACTACAAAAAGAGTGTTTCAAAGCTGCTCTATGAAAGGGAATGTTCAACTCTGTGACTTGAATGCAAACATCACAAAGAAGTTTCTGGGAATGCTGCTGTCTGCTTTTTATATGTAATCCCGTTTCCAACGAAATCATCAAAGCTAGACAAATATCCACTTGCAGATTCCACAAAAAGAGTGTTTAAAAACTGCTCTCTCAAAAGAAAGGTTCAACTCTGTTAGCTGAGCAGATACATCATGAAAAAGTTTCTGACATTGCTTCTATCTAGCTTTTATTGGAAGATATTTCCTTTTTCACTGTAGTCCTGAGAGCGCTCCAAATGTCCACTTCCAGATACTACAAGAAGAGTGTTTCAAACCTGCTCTATGACAGGGAATGTTCAACACTGTGACTTCAATTAAAACATCCCAAAGAAATTTATGAGAATGCTTCTGTCTAGAGTTTATATGAAGACAATCCCGTTTCCAACGAAATCCTCAAAGCTATCCAAATATCCTCTTGCAGATTTTACAAAAAGAGTGTTTCAAAACTGCTCTATCAAAAGAAAGGTTCAACACTGTTACTTGAGGGCGCACATCACAAATAAGTTTCTGAGAATGCTTCTGTCTAGTTTTCAGGGGAAGATATTTCCTTTTTCACCATAGGCCTGAAAGCGCTCCAAATGTCCACATCCAGATACTACAAAAAGAGTGTTTCAAACCTTCTCTATGAAAGGGAATGTTCAACTCTGTGACTTGAATGCAACCGTCACAAAGAAGTTTCTGGGAATGCTGCGGCCTGCTTTTTATATGTAATCCCGTTTCCAACGAAATCCTCAAAGCTAGACAAATATCCACTTGCAGATTCCACAAAAAGAGTGTTTCCAAACTGCTCTTCCACAACGATGGTTCAATTCTGTTAGTTGAGTACACACATCACAAATAAGTTTCTGAGAATGCTTCTATCTAGTTTTTATGGGAGGATATTTCCTTTTTCAAGACAAGCTGGAATGCGCTCCAAATGGACAACGTCCAGATATGACAAAAGGCGTGTTTCAGACCTGCTCTATTAAAGGGAATGTTGAACTCTGGGACTTCAATGCAAACATGAGAAAGAAGTTTCTGACAATGCTGCTGTCTGCTTTTTATATGGATTCCCGTTTCCAACGAAATCCTCCAAGCTGGCCTAATATCCACTTGCATATTCCCCAAAAAGAGTGTTTTAAAACTGGTCTCTCAAAAGAAAGGTTCAACTCTGTTAGCTGAGTAGATACATCATGAAAAATTTCTGACATTGCTTCTATCTAGCTTTTATTGGAAGATATTTCCTTTTTCACAGTAGTCCTGAGAGCGCTCCAAATGTCCACTTCCAGATACTACAAAAAGAGTGTTTCAAACCTGCTCTATGAAAGGGACTGTTCAACACTGTGACTTCAGTTGAAACATCACAATGAAGTTTCTGAGAAAGCTTCTGTCTAGAGTTTATATGAAGACAATCCCGTTTCCAACGAAATCCTCAAAGCTATCCAAATATCTTCTTGCAGATTTTACAAAAAGTGTGTTTCAAAACTGCTCTATCAAAAGAAAGGTTCAACACTGTTAGTTGGGGGCGCACATCACAAATAAGATTCTGAGAATGCTTCTGTCTAGTTTTCAGGGGAAGATATTTCCTTTTTCACCATAGGCCTGAAAGCGCTCCAAATGTCCACATCCAGATACTACAAAAAGAGTGTTTCAAACCTGCTCTATGAAAGGGAATGTTAAACTCTGTGACTTGAATGCAAACATCACAAAGAAGTTTCTGGGAATGCTGCTGTCTGCTTTTATATGTAATCCCGTTTCCAACGAAATCCTCAATGCTAGACAAATATCGACTTGCAGATTCCAGAAAAAGAGTGTTTCAAAATTGCTCTTTCAAAACGATGGTTCAATTCTGTTAGTTGAGTACACACATCACAAATAAGTTTCAGAGAATGCTTCTGTCTAGTTTTTATGAGAGGATATTTCCTTTTTCAACACAAGCCGGAATGTGCTCCAAATGGACAGCTTCCAGACATGACAAAAGGCGTGTTTCAAACCTGCTCTATCAAATGGAATGTTCAACACTGGGACTTCAATGGAAACATCACAAAGAAGTTGCTGAGAATGCTGCCGTCTGCTTTTTAAATGTATTCCCGTTTCCAACGAAATCCTCAGAGCCAGCCAAATATCCACTTGCAGATTCTACAAAAAGAGTGTTTCAAAACCGCTCAATGAAAAGAAAGGTTCAGCTCTGTTAGTTAAGCACACACATCACAAACTAGTTTATGAGAATGCTTCTGTCTAGTTTTTATTCGAAGATATTCCCTTTTTCACCGTAGGCCTCAATGCGACCCAAAGGTCCCCTTCCAGATTCCACAAAAAGAGTGTTTCAAACCTGCTCCATGAAAGGGAATGTTCAACTCTGTGACTTGAATGCAAACATCCCAAAGATGTTTCTGAGGATGCTTCTGTCGAGATTTTATATGAAGATATCCCGTTTCCAAGGAAATCCTCAAAGCTGTCCAAATATCCCATTGCAGAGTCTACAAAAAGAGTTTTTCAAGCGTGCTCTCTCAAAAGAAAGGTTCAACCCTGTTAGTTGAGTACACACATCACAACCTGGTTTCTGAGAATGCTTCTGCCTAGTTTATATGGGAAGATATTTCCTTTTTCACAATAGGTCACAAAGCACTCCAAATGTCCACTTCCATATACTACAACATCTTGTGTTCACACCTGCTTCATGAAAGGGAATGTTCAACACTGGGACTTGAATGCAATCCTCACAGAGATTTTTCTGAGAATGCTTCTGTCTAGGTTTTGTATGGACATATTCCCGTTTCCAACGAAATCCTCTAAGCTATCCAAATATCCACTTGCAGACTCTACAAAAAGAGTGTTTCAAAACTGCTCTATCAAAAGAAAGATTCAACTCTGTTAGTTGAGTACACACATTCCAAGCAAGTTTTGGAGACTGCTTCCGTCTAGTTTTTATGCGAAGATATTTCCTATTTCACCATAGGCCTCAACGTGATCTAACTGTGCATCTCCAGATACTACAAAAAGAGTGTTTCAAAGCTGCTCTATGACAGGGAATGTACAACTCTCTGACTTCAATGCAAACATCACAAAGGTGTTTCTGCGAAGGCTTCGGTCTAGATTTTATATGAAGATATTCCCTTTTCCAAGGAAATCCTCAAATCTATCCAAATATCCACCTGCAGATTCTCCAAAAAGAGTGTTTCAAAACTGCTCTATCAAAAGAAAGGTTCAACTCTGTTAGTTGAGTAAACACATCACAACGTAGTTTCTGAGAATGCTTCTGTGTAGTTTTTGTGGCAAGATATTTCCTTTTTCACCTTATGTCTCAAAGCGATCAAAACGTCCACTTCAAGATACTACAAAAAGAGTGCTTCAAACCTGCTCTATGAAAGGGAGTGATCAACTGTGTGACTCGAACGCTAACATCCCTAAGAAGTTTCTGAGAATGCTTGTGTCTCGATTTCATATGAAGATTTTCCCGTTTCCAGCGAAATCCTCAAAGCTGTCCAAATATCCACATGCAAATTCTACAAAAAGAGTGTTTCAAAACTGCTCTATCCAAAGAAAGGTTCAACTCTGGTAGTTGAGCACACACATCACAAACTAGTTCATGAGAATACTTCTGTCTAGTTTTTATGCGAAGATATACCTTTTTCACCGCAGGCCTCAAAGCGATCCAAATGTCCACTTCCAGATTCCACAAAAAGAGTGTTTCAAACCTGCTCTATGAAAAGGAACGTTCAACTCTGTGACTTGAATGCTAACACCCCAAAGACGTTTCTGAGAATGCTTCTGTCTAGATTTTATGTGAAGATATTACGGTTTCCAACGAAATCCTCAAAGCTTTCCAAATATCCACATGCAGATTCTACAAAAAGAGTGTTTCAAAACCGCTCTATGAAAAGAAAGGTTCAGCTCTGTTAGTTAAGCACACAGATCACAAACTAGTTTATGAGAATGCTTCTGTCTAGTTTTTATTCGAAGATATTCCCTTTTTCACCGTAGGCCTCAATGCGATCCAAATGTCTACTTCCAGATTCCACAAAAAGAGTGTTTCAAACCTGCTCCATGAAAGGGAATGTTCAACTCTGTGACTTGAATGCAAACATCCCAAAGATGTTTCTGAGGATGCTTCTGTCGAGATTTTATATGAAGATATCCCTTTTCCAACGAAATCCTCAAAGCTGACAAAATATCCCCTTGCAGATTCTACAAAAAGAGTGTTTCAAGAGTGCTCTCTCAAAAGAAAGGTTCAACCCTGTTAGTTGAGTACACACATCACAAACTGGTTTCTGAGAATTC